>NT_187598.1:161083-322166 GCF_000001405.40 Homo sapiens | reverse complement strand
TTCTGTCACTTGCTATTTTATTTTATTTCTTATCCTCGTACATTTCTAAGACCCATGGGTAAGTATTTTTCCTTCCAGTTTCTATAGGAAATAAGGAAAATCAAGCCCAGGGTAAAGTAAGTTGCCCAAGATTATCTGTGTTTAAGCCACAGAACTTGCCCTAAACTCTAGGCCAGTACCCTGTCTGCAAACCCTATGGCTTTCTTAGAGTGGTCAGAAGCTGTGCCTTTAGCCTGGAAAAACCTATTTAACTTAGATCAGCCATCTCCTGTTAGAGCTAGAGCTGAAGTTTGGTTCCACTTCAAAACCACGCTGTGTTTTAAGACTTCTAACCTATTTTTAAATTTAAGTTTATAAATCAGTTTTTAAAACTCTGTATTTTGACTCTGGATTCAGAGAAATATTCTTACTAGGTTACACGAATATTTTGAAACTCAGTACTTACTTTTTTTTTTAATTCAATAAAAGTTTGCACAAACAATGCATCCCACAGGAGAAGCTTATGCCAGATCCCAGATGTTTAACACGTTTGCTTCAGATATTAAGAGTTCATGGCCTCTTGTGCTTGTTAAACCAAAAAATGCAAGCCCATAGAAATGATTTTTAATAACTAGGAGTGCTGCAAGGTCAGGCTGAATTCTGGGCAACTGCAGCACTTCAATAACTTTTTTGATCACAGATTGTGTGTGTGTGTGTGTGTGTGTGTGTGTGTGTGTGTGTGTACTTTAAAAAAAAAAAAAAATCCAAGCAGAGAATTCAGTGAAGGGCAGCATGAACTCTTACTTTTGACTCAATTTCACTTCAATTGATACATGCAGAAATGTTCAAAAAGTTCCTTTTCTAATTCTGACATCAACTATCTAGTTTGTAATCACTTACCTGGGTCTGCCATGCAATGAACCAACCATCTACTATTGAGTCTTGGGGTTCAGAATGCCATTATCGCAGTGAACATCTACTGGGGACTGACTGTGCCAATTATTATGCTGTGTATATATCATTTAACCCTCATACCTGGCACCTTCACTCCTACACCCTGAGTCCCAGCCACCTTCCTCTCTCACCTTCATTATAGGCAGAATCAGTTACCTGGTCCCTCTGCCTTCACCTCTGCCCCTGTCCCTTCCATTCTATTCTCAACCCAACAGTTGGAGTGATCTGTACTAAGGTGAAATCAGTTCATGTCATTTCTCAACTCCAAACTCTCCAATGGCTTCTCAGCCTATTTAGAGTAGCAGCAAATGTTTAATAACAGCCATGTTGTGTTTTTGTTGTCGTTGTTTGTTTGTTTGTTTGTTTTTTAGATGGAGTCTCTCTCTGTCGCCCAGGCTGGAGTGCAGTGGCGGGATCTCAGCTCACTGCAAGCTCTGCCTCCCAGGTTCACGCCATTCTCCTGCCTCAGCCTCCCGAGTAGCTGGGATTACAGGCACCCACCACCACGCCTGGCTAATTTTTTGTATTTTTAGTAGAGACGGGGTTTCACCGTGTTAGCCAGGATGGTCTCGATCTCCTGACCTCATGATCTGCCCCCTCTGCCTCCCAAAGTGCTGAGATTCCAGGCGTGAGCCACTATGCCTGGCCAACTCTACCCCATGTTCTTCTGCCCTCTCTTCCTACCCTTCTCTTTCTCTTTCTCTTGCTCCAGTGGGTCTGGCCCTCTCACTGTTCCTCAAACATGTCATGCAAATTTCTTGACATGGTATGGTTTACTGGTCAAGCTAAGATTAAAGCACACACATTATATTACATCTATTAAGGTAGGAAAGTGGGAGATCATTTGCTTTAAACAACCAGTTAGTGATCTATTGGTGGGGGTAACAAAATTCAAAAATTCTTGATACTCTATTCTTTCACAACAATCTTTGCTTTAGGAAATGTGATCAAAGGCAGGTTTCCCGATTGAAAAAGTTAAGGCTAGTGAGGCAGAGCATTTTTTTTTTTAGACGGAGTTTCACTGTTGTTGCCCAGGCTGGAGTGAAATGGCATGATCTCCGCTCACCGCAACCTCCGCCTCCTGGGTTCAAGCGATTCTCCTACCTCAGCCTCCCGAGTAGCTGGGACTACAGGCATGCACCACCACACCCGGCTAAGGTTTTTGTATTTTTAGCTAGAGACGGGGTTTCTCCATGTTGTTCAGGCTGGTCTCAAATTCCCAACCTCAGGTGATCTGCCCGCCTCGGCCTCCCAAAGTGCTGGGATTACAGGCGTGAGCCACCGCGCTTGGCCGCATTTTTATTCCAATAGAGTATGCCTATTGCTGAGAGACTGTCTGTTTTCACAAGTACAATGTTAAGGATTGTGAAATTTACATTATGGGAATCTAGTACCTGTGATTAACTTATTGAAGCATTGAATGAGCAATGATACTTGAAAACTAAGGCCATCTTGAATAGTTAGAAAATGAATCATTTTGGGAAATGTACTTCAGATAATTCAGAAAATACTTTTTGAAGCACTAAACCTTTAAATAACTTTAGTTATTTTGATGGATGCTAAAAATAAAGTGTGGACCACTTTTTGTCTTAGTAGCTAGACTCCACCACGTATAGAGTTTTACTTCATGATGATCCAGGATAAACATTGGTGGCATAATACAGTGTGGAGGTCTGTTTGCCCATATGCTGAATGGCACCAGGCTAGTGTGCTTCTTGGATCTGCATGTCTTCTTTGAATAATTTTACATAGGCATTTGGGAAGAGAAAAAGAAGTTATAAATAGGCAATTTTCAGCCTGAGAATTTTGTGAGAGCCTCAGCCATTGTGATACTTCAAAGGGACAGGTAAGTTTATGTGCTAATTATAAGTGAAAGAGCCTTAGGTGATTTTTAAAACTTCCTTCTTCATTCCGACGCTACGGCAACAGCATCAAACAGCTCTAGAGCACTGGCCACTTACAGAACTTGGGACCAGACACACCTTGACACTCTATTTAGACCACACAGAGGGAGAACAACCAAAGAAAGGTTGGAGAGGTACTGTCCACAAATTCCACTCACTTTACAGCTTGTTTATAGGAAGCTCTGTTCATGACACTGAAATTGTCATTCAGCCCAAGACCAACGTAAGTTGCCAGTGTTAATATTTATACACACCCTGTATTATTGTAAAGTGGTCTTCATTATATAATTCGCATTTAAATAGTCCTTCAGAACAGTGGTCCCCAATCTTTTTGCAGCAGGACCAGTTTCGTGGAAGACAATTTTTCCATGGACTAGGGGTGAGGGGATGGTTTTGGGATGATTCAAGCACATTACATTTATTGTGCACTTTATTTCTATTATTATTACATTATAATATATAATTAGATAATTATACATCTCACCATAATGTAGAATCAGTGGGAGCCCTGAGCTTGTTTTCTTGAAACTAGATGGTCCCACCTGAGGGTGGTGAGAGACAGTGATAGCTCATCAGGCATTAGATATTTTTTTCTTTTTTTTCCAAGATGGAGTCTTGCTCTGTCACCCAGGCTGGAGTGCAGTGGTGCAATATCGGCTCACTGCAACCTCCGCCTCCTGAATTCAAGCAATTCTCCTCTCTCAGACTCCTGAGTAGCTGGGATTACAGGCTCCTGCCACCACACCTGGCTAATTTTTGTATTTTTAGTAGAGAAGGGGTTTCACAGTGTTGGCCAGGCTGGTCTTGAACTCCTGACCTCATGATCTGCCGGCCTTGGCCTCCCAAAGTGGTGGGATTACAGGCGTAAGCCACTGTGCCTGGGCAGGCATTAGATTCTCATAAGGAGCATGAAACCTAGATCCCTCACGTGCGCAGTTCACAGTAAGGTTTGTGCTCCTATGAGAATCTAATGCTGCCACTGATCTCACAGGAGGCAGAGCTCAGGTGGTAATATGAGTGATGGGGAGAGGCTGTAAATACAGATGAAGCTTCACTCGCTCACCTGCTGTTCAACTCCTGTTGTGTGGCCTGGTTCCTAATAGGCCACAGGCTGGTACTGATCCGTGGCCTGGGGTTTGGGGACCCCCGCTTTATAGTGTATGCTTTTGTGTTTTTTCTTTCATTCACCAAATATTTGTTCAGTATGTACTATACTGTCCTAGGCTTTAAAGTAGACATTAGAAATGCAAAGATGAATATGGCCCCATCCCTCCCCATTTTCTTATTTTGATTATCATCATGACTCTGAGAGGTTGCTAGGGCAACAATTATAATTATCCCTTTTTTTTTTTAGGAAAGAGATTGAGGCTCAGGGAGGCTCTTGCACTGTCACCATGTTTAAAAAGTATTAATGCCAGAACTTCAACTCAGGTTTTCTGCCTCTAAATCCCATTTTTTAAACCCAATCTTTTTTTTTTTTTTTTTGAGATGGAGTTTCACTCTTGTTGCCCAGGCTGGCATGCAATGGTGTGATTTGGGCTCACTGCAACCTCCACCTCCCAGGTTCAAGTGATTCTCCTGCCTCAGCCTCCCGAGTAGCTGGGATTACAGTCGCATGCCACCACGCCCAGCTAATTTTTTGTACTTTTAGTAGAGACAGGGTTTCACCATGTTGGCCAGGCTGGTCTCAAACTCCTGACCTCCGGTGATCCACCCATCTTGGCCTCCCAAAGTGCTGGGATTACAGGGGTAAGCCACTGTGCCTGGCCTCTAAACCCCATCTTTAATGCCATAAACAAATACTCAGAGGCAAGCAATTAAAGAAAATAAACATTTATGCAAATCATAGTCGAATAAAAATGCTAAAGACTCAGTTCCAAAGAATCTTAGAGGGACACAGTTTTCTGAGTACTCATATTAAATCTCTTGTGTTTAAGTGACAAGAACTAAACATGTATTAACTTAGGCAAAATATATTATTTATGGGCTTATACCTGGTGTGATTTGTGTACTAGTACTAGGGGAAAAGTAGAGGTGAATTCAACCAAGAATGCAACCAAGAAATCTAATGCCTTTGGAATCCTTCACCATCTCTTATCTTTACTTCTCTCAGCACATCAACTTCACTGTCTTTTATTATGGATTGACCTGTTCTACCTGGGAAACGTGGCCACCAAAGTGTCTTGTGTCACTATAAAGAGGACTGTTTTTTTTTTCTAGTTACAGTTTTAAAACAAATTCTAGGGAAGGATTTTGATTGACCGCCTTGGGTTAGATACCATCTCATGAACCAATCAACTCTTACTGGGGAAGTGAAATAGTGGGAAATCACAGCAGCCACGCAACTTTGGAATGGAGGAAGAGTGGTCCTCATGATGAGACTAAAAGCAGATGTCGACTCTGAGTCTCCTACACTTAATTCACACAAATGTTTTTTCAGGAAATATCCTATTAAATTTCTGGAAATTAAATGTTTGCTGAACTCCACTACACTGTTGTGCTGTGTTTAAAGGTGGCAGCACAAGGTCAAAGGTAGAAACAGGAAAAAGCCACGTAGTAAAACTAAGGAATCCTCATTACTTTTAGTGACATCCTGCCCAGAAAGTGAAAAAGGAAGGCAGGATTTGCAGATGGCCCAAAGCGGTGAAAGCAAAATAGTGAATGTTGGGGAGATGATGACTATGAAGAGCTAGGCATACAGCATTGCAGCAACAAATGATACGAATTTTCAGGCATGGCTGTAGTCATCTTGGAAAAGATAGGAGTAAGAGTACAGAAACTCCTGGAGCTCAAGAGGTTATTAATCTTCTGGTCTACTCCCTTCATTTTTCATGTGAGTAGACGGATCCAGGGAGAAGTAATCTTCCCAAGGCTATCATAAAGCCTTAGCTATTTCATTGGCAAAAATGGGAAAAATAATGACACCAACCCTTACATATGTCAGGAGGTTTTTCTTCAGAGAGAAATTGGAATAAAGTTACCAGAAGTTGGATAGTGCATTTTCCTCCCACTAGGCTGACACTTGCAAGGGAGCTGGAATAAATACGCAGATGGCTGATGAAGGTAAGACAGGTAACAAAAATGGGAGATGCCAGAAAAGGGGATAAAGGGAAGGTCTGCAGTCACATGGGTCTTGAAAGTAGACAATCTGTATCATGCTAGACCCTCGACTGGCTTACCCAGGATACTCCTAATCCTGTGGGTTTTCTCTTAGTTATGTGCCCGGGCTGGCCACCACCTGAGGGTTTTCTCATTTACCTGTCCCTTCTTTCAGATATCTTAACTTGGTGAAGCGACTTTCCCAACATCCATTCTATCCCATAAGCAGCAGCCATGTGGTTTGGGAAATTGGTCTCAATTTAAGGGATAGGCCTGATTAGTCAAAATGATATCTTATCCTCTTTGCCAGTATTGGTTCAAAAATAAGCATGTGACCTAATTCTGGCCAAAGGGATAAGAGGTTTGCTGGCTTCTTGGAAAGTTACTTTCTCTTAAGAGCATTCCAGGGGAATTCATTCTATTCTCTTCACCTGAATTGAAGGAGGAGGGTCTTCCCCTGGTAGCCATTCTACAACCACAAATGGAACTAGATTTAGGATGAAACTTACATAATGCAGAACAGAGAAAAGGGAAGGAAAACACTCAATGCTAAATGGTTGAATTGCAAATCAATGACTCTGAAGGCTGATCTATCTTTGGATTTCCTCATAGGTTAACCATATTAGTTATCTATTGTTGTGCAACAAACCTTTCCCAAACAGTGGCTCAAAACAACAGCATTTTATCGTTATTTAGTTTATGAATCTGCAATGTGGGCAGGGCTGAGTGGGAAAGGCTTATATCTGCTCCACAAGGGGTCAGGTGGGGAAGCTTAGCCAGGACCAGGGGGATCCACTTCCAAGACGGCTCCCTCACAAACTGGAAAGTCAATGCTGGCTCAGTCAGATGTGAAGGTCATGGGCCTTATTCTTTTCTACGTGGCCCTCTTCATTTGGGTCTCCACAAACTGTGTGGGCTTCCTTAGAGCATGGTAGCTGGATTCCAAGAGTAAGCACACAAAGATAACTATGTAGAAACTGCATCACCTTATCTGACCTAGCATTGGCCATCACATAGCATCATTTCCA
This sequence comes from Homo sapiens, assembly GCF_000001405.40. Taxonomy (NCBI): domain Eukaryota; kingdom Metazoa; phylum Chordata; class Mammalia; order Primates; family Hominidae; genus Homo; species Homo sapiens. The sequence continues at coordinate 315,202 of NT_187598.1, read as the reverse complement.
ATCTACTTTGCTGGTTGACCAGTCACTATGGTTAGCCTAGATGCAGTTCAGAGGACACAGGTTCCAGCTTTTGTTGAAAGGAGTTTCAAAGAACTGTGGACGATTTAAACCATTGCAGAAACTAAAACATTTCCTTTTTTTTTTTTTTCTGAGATGGAGTCTTGCTCTGTCACCTAGGCTGGAGTGCAGTGGCGTGATCTCGGCTCACTGCAACCTCTGCCTCCCGGGTTCAAGCAATTCTCCTACCTCAGCCTCCTGAGTAGCTGGGATTATAGGCGCCCACCACAACGCCTGGCTAATTTTTGTAGTTTTTAGTAGAATGGTGTTTCACCACGTTGGCCAGGCTGGTCTTGAACTCCTGACCTCAGGTGATCCGCCTGCCTCGGCCTCCCAAAGAGTTGGGATTATAGGCGTGAGCCACCGCGCCTGGCCTCCTTGTTTTTATGACCATTCGAATTGGGTTTTCTGTTATTTATTTGGGGCTGAAAGCATCCTTTTTCATGGGTTTTCTGTTTATCTGGGGCTGAAAACATCCTTGTTGATACAGTTAGTGTCACCTCAGCCATGGGCAGCAGAATGTCCTTAACGAACAGCCCTCAGTCACAATGCCAATTGTAGCAAAGTTACCAGTAATTTGTTACCAGTAATTTAATACAAAGGTTTTGCAATAATTTATTTTTTGTTCTTTTCAAATCACAGCAGAATCAAGCTTACCACAATAATAGCAGAAGAGTCATTTATTTAAATTCAAGTAGAATTCTCTGAATGGGAGTAAAGGGATGGAATCAAAGCGAGGATGCTCCACAGGGCACGTGGGAGCTTTACTCCAGGTTGAGAGCTGTTGGGCTGGATGCCTCTTTTGGTAAGAGAGTTGGAAACAACTTTAGAGTTTCGTTGCTGTGGCTCAAATTCTTTTTCTTCTCCACATAAGCTCCTGTGAAGCCAGTGCAGCCGAGGACTTGTCACCAGGCATTTGATAATCTCTCTCTAGTTTTGATGGTCTTTCGGTGGACAAGGGAAGAGATTAAAAAAAAAATTCTTCTTGATCTTCTGTCTTGGTCCTCTCCACGATGAACTCTACCTAAATACAACAAATCATTTTTTAGTGTCCACTGTGTTTTTAGCACTCTGATAAGGCCATTGCAGATAGAACCCCAATAAGATGTTACTGTAAGAATCTAGAAAATAAGTAGAGGGCAGTTGGAGAGCAATGGGAGGCTACTTAAAATCCAATCCTAATGCAGGTGTGACAGTCTTATGAAAGAAAGGAGAGAAAAAGCTGAGCGTCTATCTGTTGGATTTCAGGGTACTTCCCTGCCCAGAGGTGCAGCAGCAGATCCCTTGACCCTCTTCTCCCCAGCTACCTCTGAAGTGGACCAGGGTAAACATCTGATCAACGGGTGCCCAACCATAGACTAGCCAGCAATTTGTACCTTGTGTGTGGCCTGACTGGAAAATATGAGCTGAGCAAATCAGATTCCTCTCCCAGAAAACTGGGAAGGGAGAAGCACTTACTTCTAAGGTGGTGGCTCCTGAGCCCAGAGGCTGGATAGATATACCATTGAGGAAGTAATTAGAGAATCAGGTGTAGACTGCAGCTTTGAGAGACTGGTGACTCAGATAAGCTGATTGGGATGTGCAGGTGTGCAAAAAGAAGCAGTCTTCATGGAATGCGAGGCTGAGGGGTGTCTGGGCTACCTTAGGTCCTGCACTTTCTGATGCCTGCTTGTTCAGTTCTCTGAATATGTTCCCATATATGTTCCCTTACCCAAAGTAAGGGTAGGAATAGAATACCATTCCCTGCCTTTTACTTGAGCTAATTGGAGAGGTTTTCTGTTACTTGTAACCATCAGAATTCTGTCCAGAACAAGTCAAGGACCCACAGAAGAGATGACAATTCCAATGGGCTTTGAGTAAGGAAACAACCTTAAGTCTAGGCTTTACAATTTACCAACTAAATCTGTGACTTAACAAAAGGAGCTTGAGCTTTAGAGTCACACATAGCTTTGGGTTCAAATCCAATCTGTACCATTACTTCTTTGTGATCTTGGAGAAGTTACTTATCTGTAATGCCTAGATAATGCCTACTAATTCTTAAATGGTTGTTGCAAGAATTAGACTAGACGTATAAACATATTTATTTATTTATTTATTTATTTATTTATTTATTTATTTTGAGATGGAGTTTCACTCACTCTGCTGCCCAGGCTGGAATGCAGTGGCACCATCTCTGCTTACTGCAACCTCCATCTCCCGGGTTCAAGTGATTCTCCTGCTTCAGCCTCCCGAGTAGCTGGGATTACAGGTGTGCGCCACGTCACCCGGCTAATTTTTGTGGAGACGGGGTTTCGCCATGTTGGCCAGGCTGGTCTCAAACTCCTGGCTTCAAGTGATCCACCCCCTTCTCAGCCTCCCAAAGTGCTGGGATTACAGGCATGAGCCACCGCACCCAGCCAATGTATACACACTTACTTATATGGACCATTAACACAGTGTTTGGCACGTAGTAGGTCCATGAAGAATGACAGCTATTGTCATCCCCAAGTATGTTGATGTACTATTTGGATGGGAGAAAGGAAGTAATCTTTGACCCTGGTCCCTGCCAGTAACATAAGGTGGCTTTTTTTTTTTTTTTTTTTTTTTTTTTGAGACAGAGTCTCGCTCTGTCGCCCAGGCTGGAGTGCAGTGGTGCAATATCGGCTCACTGCAACCTCCGCCTCCCGGGTTCAAGCGATTCTCCTGCCTCACCCTCCCGAGTAGCTGAGACTAAGGCATGTGCCACCATGCCCAGCTAATTTTTATATTTTTAGTAGAGACGGGGTTTCACCATGTTGGCCAGGATGGTCTTGATCTCTTAACCTCATGATCTGCCCGCCTCGGCCTCCCACAGTGCTGAGATGACAGGCGTGAGCCACCACGTTGGGCCCATAAGATGGTTTTGATGGAAACATTTTTATATTTCCCAACATTTTAAGAGTGGCTTTATATATTGGGGTGTGTGAGTCTGTGGGCATGTGCGTTTGTTTGGCAAGGATGTTGTTTGGCTCTTCCTCCCCCGTTTCCTATTGAAGTTGTATTCACTATGTCATTGTTATTAATCAGGCAAGCAATATGAGATGAACAGGAGTGATGAGTTGCTCAGGCTGCCAAACAAGTTCATGTTTTGTAGGAAACGCCAAATTGTTTCCTGGGGGGATGTTACTTAGGAATGGAAGGGTATGCCTCTCTGGCCCTCACAGACCCTGTCCCCTCCCTGGAGTGCTGTCAACTCTCAGGGCAATGGGATAACTCTTTAAAAGCCACTTTATGGAGCTGCCGCCCAACTGTGCTGGAAATATATTTGCATTTTTTTTTCCTTTCTTCTGGTAAAAATGTAACCCACGTCAAGTAGGAAATGGATTACAGAGCTCCCACATTTCCTCAAAAACTATCCCAACATCATTAGTCCCTTCATAAGCTAGAAGGGTGGAGGAAGATAGTGAAAGGCTGGGAGTGGTGGAGAAAGAGGGAATGTCTGAAAAAAAATAGGATTATAAAGCATTTTGAGCCCCTCCCTCCACTTCTAATTCATAGAGAGACTAACGTGTAAACTAATAAACCAAAGGTCTTAACTAAAGGCTTAAAAAAGATGTCCTTGAATATTGGGTTCATCTGCCAACCACATTTATTCATGAATTATCTTTATGGATGTGGAGTGGGTTTAAAAACAGATGAGGAAAGCTTTGGCGTCCTAAAACTCCCTGGGGATTTTGCTGGGCGTAGGTGTTTTCCTAAAACTCTGATGAAAGCAGAAGTTACAAATGATAGGCTTCGAATGTTATTTCACACAGTGATTTTGAGTGGCATGTACAATCACTAATATTCAGCAGTAACTTTCTGAAAAGTTGTTAAATCTTTCTCATCTCTGTTATTAAAAAATATTTAGATTTTATATCTAACCCAAAGGACAGAAAATTTCAAGTGAATTGTATTGAGGGTGAGAAACTGAATCCTCTAACTTACTATTGGCTAAATTGGTGCTGCCCAGTGACTTGAGAGGGGAGTCCTGGGCACATTGGTCTGGAACTCTGGGGTCATGATGGGGTTAGATATTCTCCATTCCAGAAAATCATGGTGGGAGGACATGTCAGGTAACTATTTCTATGTAACAAATATTCCCAAAATGCCATGGTACAAAAAAAAAATCATCTTTTATTTCTCACGCTTGCTGGGCAGCTGGGGATTAGCTGTTCTCAGCTGGGTTTACCTGGCATGACTCTGCTTTAGGGTGTCTTACCCTCCTTGGAGCAGCTGGCTGGCCCAGGGAAGTCTTCTAGCATTGGTAGAAGTACAAGAAGGCAAGCAGAAACACATGAAGTCTCTTAAGGCCTAAGTGCAGAACTGAACACGATTACTTCCATTTCATTCTGTTGACCAAAGCAAATCATGTGGCTGAACCCAAAATCAACGGGTAGGGAAATATACTCCACTCCTTCAGTGGAAGGAACTTCAAAGTCGTAGCAAAGGGCATGGATACAGTGCATGATGAAGTCCTGGGGCCAATACTGTAACCTACTAAAAAGAAGGAATATGACTAGGACTGTGGCTCCAGTAAGTGGAACCACATAGCTTATCTGCAACTGTGACAGGTTAGTCCCTTCTGTGGTATTGATGGTAGCTATCATATCTCAACGCTAACGCTCAATATTCCTCCCAACTCTCCTAATTTTCATTCCATTTCCCTGATCAGGCAACCGTTTGGTTATCATTTAGCTTCCTGGATAGCTATTTCTTCAGGGCATAGTGTTTTGGCAGTAAGATACATGTTTGGGCCTTGCAACAATCCTATTTCTCATTCTATATTAATAGACAGACATACTATTGTCTACTTCTGGTGAGCCTGACCAAACTTCCTTCTTCAAGAGAGATTTACTCAGTATGCTAAAAGAGAAAAGGAACAAGTTTCTAAGCTCGAAAAGCTGAAAGTCAGTTGTTCTATTATGTAAATTCAGTGTGAAGGCAGTGGGCAACCAGTCACCCTCTCATGGGGAGACCACTACTAGGGCATAATTTTTACCCAAATTTCTGTAGTTCCTATAGATAAATAACTTCAGCACTTGGCCTTTAATAGTGTAGGGGAAGGAGGTCAGGCGTGGAGGCTCATGCCTGTAATCTCAGCACTTTGAGAGGCCGAGGTGGGCAGATGGCTTGAACCCAGGAGTTTGAGACCAGCCTGGGCAACATGGTGAAACCTTGTCTCTGGGCAACATGGTAAAAACCTGTCTCTACAAAAAAATACAAAAAATTAGCTGGGTGTGTTGGCATGCCTATACTCGCAGCTACTCAGGAGGCTGGGATGGGAGGACCAGCTGAGCCTGGGAGGTGGAGGCTGGAGTGAGCCATGATCGCACCACTGCACTCCAGACCCTGTCTCAAAAAAAAAAAAAAAAAAGGTGGAAGGGAAGGATGGATGGTACAATCTGCATAATCTTATTGCTAGGTAGCCAAGAACATGAATGATGTATTGGAGGGGTTTAATCAGGGAAGCAGAACCACTAGAGTCTTACTGATAATGGGACTAATCTCTTGCAGAATTATGTGAGAAACTGGTGAAGTAAAGGTCTGAAAGTGGAATTGAAGGGTTAGAGAAAAGTCACTAGCCAGCCATCCTGAAGCCCTGTACAGGTGGACTTGTAAGGCCAGAACTTGCAATGATTCTAGGAAGCCGCACATGTCTAACTGCTGGAGTGGTACCCAGGAGGGGGGCTGTGGAAAAGTCCATACATAGCTGCCACTTCTGGAGGTCTCCCACCAAGCTCTCAAGTCATCTTGGGTCCTCTGGCCAGCAGGGACTAGAGTTGGGAAGAAGAGCTAGACATGAGGAGGAGGATGAGCAAGAACCTCCCAGAATCTCTGTGTGTGTCTGCCACCACGTGTAGTCATGAGGATCTTCAGAGGGAGTGGCTCTGCTCCACTTTCACCTTCCAAATCTTGCCTCAATTCTTCTTTTTGGCCAACCTAACTTGGAACCATATAGGGAAATAAATTTGGGGAAATGGAGTTCCAACTTAAGCAAGCTGATGTGGGTCCAGAAGAATGCAGGGTCATTTGCTTCAGGTTTGAGTCATTTCTTCCAGTCCATACAGAGGTCACAGAAATAGGGGTTTAGATGTTTCTCTGCTCTTCTCAGTGAGTCTGGGAGCCTTTGTTCTTGAATCCTGAGCAGTTTCATGTGCTGTCATCCTCTTTGGACCAGCTACTCAGCCTGGGTGAGTTGATCATGTGGTTGGTGGAAAACCTTCTTTTGTTTTTGGATTCTCTCTTTGTTTCCTCCTTCACAGATTTCCTTTGACCCCACTGGTGCTATTGCCTCCTGCTCTAGGTGCTGAATATTTCTCATTTACACCTCTAATACAACTGTGTCAGCCTTTTAGTGCTATGAAGTTTCATTGATTATTGGGGTTTGGAGGAGGCAGATGGGTGTTTTGAGGAAGGGCTTTGTGGGAGGGCACTGAGAAATGAGACTCTCATGATTAGTTCTCCTGGTGGAGCATCTGTGACCACCCATTATCCCATTGTTACCTTAGTTTAGTGGGTAACAGTTATCCAGGTAAGATGATGAGGGAGGGAAAGAAAAAAGAAAAAAGCAACTCTTCTCACTACAAATAGTTCCTAGCTTATTCAACTATGTATCCTGTGGATTAATGGACAAATTCCTTAGTAAGCTATTCAAGACCTTTTGGAGCCTAGCCTTTTTATTTTTCTCTTTTCCTGAATATATACTAGACTTTGAGTAACACTGGATCTCCTGAAGCCCACTCAGGGAAACCCTTCAAAGTGCATGAAAGAGACAGAGAAGTGCAGATAAAGATGATGAAGAAGGCATAATGGTGACTCTGTGCTTGTTTTCAGGTCAAGATGTCAGCATTCTGATAAGGTGGCCATCTGAGAGACAGAAAGCTATGTATCCATAAAGATTTTTCTTTATCTACTTGGGACAAACTTAAAGTTTCTATGACCTTAATAAGCTCTTTGATAAATTTTCATGTTCTATGTCTCCCATAGAATGCCTACAGCATGAGAAACATTTTTTTGGTATGTTTAATGTAATCTATATGTCATCATTCATGACAGTGCCTATCAGAGTAAGTAAATCCAGGTGTTAGAAAAAAACCCCAAATATTAGTGGTTTAACACAATAAAATATATTTTTCACTCACATCACCATCCAATCAAAGTTAGTGGGCAGTGGAGAGAGCTTTGTTCTATGAAGCCAATCAAGGACCCAGACATTTCTCCCATCTTGTCGTATTGTGAGCTTTAGCAATGGTTAGCATGGTTTAGTCCAAGGTTGTCATGGAATGGAAAGAGGGAGACAGTGGGGTGAAGGCTCACCTGTTCTTAGTTGCCTAGATGCAGAAGTGAAACTCTATTTCTGCTCAAATTCCATTGGTCAGAACTGGCCACATGACCTTACCTAGATGCAAGGGGAGTGGCTAGGCAAAGCAGTTTAGCTTCATGCCCAGGGAGAGGAATTGAGGTTTGGTGAGCATCCATGACACTTTTGAAATGTCACTTCCTCTCTGAAGCAAGTGCCTAGTACTGCACCTGTTACATGGCAGGCACTCAGAAATATTTTTTGAACAAATACATGAAATGAATGAATATGTATAGGCTTCTGCTGTTATGTTCTAAGGCAGAAAATGGGAAGGAAATAATTTTGAGAGAAGCAAAAATCTGTCTGGTACCCCCAATGTATTCATGACCATTTATTTGTAAAATTATTTCACAAGCACTCTAGGAATTTATACTCTTTGAAAGCTGTTTTCATTTATTCAACAAACTGTTGAGTGCCTTCTATATCAAGTGCTATGCTGTGTGCTCAGGAAATAGAGGTGGAAGTCATCATTCCTGCCCATTGGTAACTCACTTGGAATGCATCTAGAGGGAAGTGGGAAAAGAAGCCAGTAATCACAGCTATGATGTAGGCACCATGATAGAGATACAGATGGATTGTGGTGGTTATGCTGGGAAATGGCACCTAATTGAGTCAGGAATGGGTGTTGTGGGGTTTCATTGTCTAGAAGAGGTGGTATCTTGGTTGGATGAACATGAGTTTGCTAGTTGATACCTGTAAGAGAAGGGTAGAGGGAATGGTGTGTGCAAATTCGACAGTTTATGGAACTGCAATTCCTTCAGTAGGTCAAAAAGGTGTGATGGAAATACTGGGAGATAAGGCTGGAGAGGTAGGCTTGGGCTGAGTCACAAAGCACTTCTAAACTGCATTAAATAAAGAATGAATAGGGGTTTAGAGTAGGAATTATGCGATTTGTCTCTATCAAATGAAAGAATTGATACACACAGTAATATCTAAGCAGCCACGTTATCCATATTGACCAGTCTATTTTTCTCCTTAGATCGGCCTCAAATAATATAAAATTGCTAAATTAAAAAATAAACAAAAACCCGTTCATAGTATTTTGAGGACGATCCTTTTGTGGGAAGAGATTAGAAATAAGAGCACAAAGAAAGGTGTACAATATCCTCCATTCAAGTAGCCTTGCCTCAGATAGAACAGGAAGGAGGCCCATTTCAAGGAAAACAAAGGAATTGGCTTCATGATTTTACAAGAACTGTATCTGTCAATAGAGAGGATTCTTCTAGGAAAATGTTTTAAGATGGACTAGGGAAGAAAACTAGGAACAATTAGGGGAGCTCCTGCTCTTGGTACTTCTGCATCAGTGAAGAGTTTGTTAAAGTTGTTCATTTAAGGAACCAAGCATCAGCTCACTTCAATTAGTAGTTATTGAGCATTCATTCCTCCTTCATTCATTCAGCACATTTCAATGACACTTTTGTGCCCTGCACTAAGTCAGGTGCTGCAAGGAAGTAAAAGTTATGGTCTTGCCCTTGAGAAGATTCAACTAACACATGAATCTAGTGATTTCTAACCAAGGATGTGCTCTCCTTAGGTATCAAGGGAAGCTGGGCACTGTGGCTCATGCCTGTAATTCCAGCACTTTGGGAGGCTGAGGCATGAGGATTGCTTGAAGCCAGGAGTTTCAGACCAGCCTGGACAGCAAAGCATGACCCTGTCTCTATAAAAAAATTTAAAAATTTAGCCAGGCGTGGTGGTATGTGCCTGTAGTCCCAGCACACTTGGGAGGCTGAGGTGGGAGGATGGCTGGAGCCCAGGAGTTTGAGACAGCAGTGAGCTATGATTGTGCCACTGCAATCCAGTCTGGGCAACAGTGAGAGCCTGCCCAAAAAAAAAAAAAAAAAGGAACAAATGAGAGAGAGACAGAATGAATATTAGTCTAAAACGCCTTGGAGTTCAAAGTTCAGATTCAAATCTTGACTGTATGTTTGGGCAACCACTAACTGGTTGTCTGACCTTTAAATATTTTCAACTGCAAAATGAAGATAATAACAGCTACATTGCAATTTCCAGGATTAAATGAGATGACTCATGAAAGTTTTGTGTGAACAGTGCACAACTTTGCAAACATTTGTGATACATTATTAAATGTGAACGTACTAGGAGTTGAAAGCAGTGGTTTTCAAAGTGTTTGTTGAAACACTAATGCCCAAGATTGGAAACAGGCCTTTCTCAAGAAAAGAGTTCTATGGTCAAACACATTTGGGAGATGCAGGATCAAAGAAAGTAAAACATGGTTCTTATGCCTGTAAAATGCTAGTATGCATTGTGAATCTCAAGGAAAACAAATATTTTGTGTCTCTCTCCCCCACATTAATGTGATCTGGTGATCTACCCCTACTCCCACTGCAGCATCTCTAGGACCTTGAGATGGACAGAACTCACTCTGGGAAAGACTGCTCTCCAGAAGGAAAAGTATGAACCTTTCTTTCAATTTTACAGTCCCACCACCCAGGCTGGCACCGTGGCTCAATGCTTGTAATCCCAGCACTTTGGGAGGTGGAGCACTTTGGGAGGCAGAGGTGGGAGGATCACGTGAGTCCAGGAGTTCAAGACTAGCCTGGGCCATATAATAAGACTTCATCTCTACAAAAAATTAAAAAATTAGCCTGGCATGCTGGCTCGCGCCTGTATTCCCAGCTACTTGGCGGAGGGGCTGAGGTGGGAGGATCACTTCAGCCCCGAAGGTCGAGGCTGCACTGAGCCACGGGCGCACCGCTACACTCCAGCCTGGGCGACAGAACCTCTGTCAAAACAAAACAAACAAAAAATGCTAAGCCATTCTTCATCAGACAGTCTAGGAAACTCATTTCCAAGCAGTGTTGAGATTTCCACCAAGGAAGCCCAGAGAAAAGGGCCAGGCCCCCCGCTTTACCAGGGTTAGAGGGGATCCCTCATAGAATCGGGGGTGTGAGGTGCTGTGGTGGATACATTTAATATTCTTTCCAAGACACCCATTGATGGCAAGGCAGTAGCAGATAGCAACAAAAGCAGAGAGCAGGGCTGATCCTCAAAGACTTTATAGACTTTTTATAAAAACTCTAAAAGTCAAGTAACAACATGACTACTCCGCTTCTAAGTAAAGTGTGCATAAACATCGCCAGAAAGACTGCCCCTGCCTCCCCAAGTCAGAGAAGTTTCCTCAGGCCAATAGCTTCCCCTCTCTTCCCCCTCCTACCGCTTGTCTCCCTTCTTCTCCCAAAACACACCCCACACCTGGCGGCATTTTACACCTTCCCAGGAAGGGGCTGCCAAGCGCGGAGTCGCGGAGGACGCAGGCGCAGCGCGGCTCAGGTACGCGGGAGGCCCCGCCCCTCCGCGCCCAGCCCTTCTGCGCCACTCCACTCCCCGCCCTGCCCCGCCCTGCCTCGCCCCTCCCCGCCTTGCCTCGCCCCTCCCCGCCTTGCCTCGCCTCGCCCCTTAGCGCCCGTCCCGAGGGGCGGGGCGGCCCTGGTGGGTGGTGTGGGAGTGGGTACGGGGAGGGAAGTGGAGGGGAGGGGGTAAGTGATAGGGTAGGGGAGGCCCTGGGAAAGGCAGGACCTCGAGGCGCGGCCGCGCGAGGTGACCGGAGTCACAGTTCCCGCAGGCGGCGACAGCAGAGCGCCCACTGCCTCCAGCAGGTAACCGGCCGCGGCCGCGCGGCGCCGGCCCAGCGCGGGCGTGGGACGTGGAGACCCGGAGGAGGGCGGCGGGACCCGGGCGGGGAAAGGCGCGGCGTGGCTTGGCTCAGGTGCGCTTCTCCCACCTGGCAGCTCGCTCAGGGCTGTGGGGGGTGCCTGTGAGGGCGGCCCCGCCTTGCGGGCTGGAGGTGAGTGTCAGTTCTGTCTCTTTTGTCTTTAACTTTCTTTAAAATGGGGCCGTGGTGGGGCCCAGGGGCTGTTCCCACGTCTCCTCAGCGACGCCTGTGTCGCGGGGGCCTGAGAGAGCTTTAGGCCCCGCGACAGCTGGAAGCGCGGTGGTCTGGAGGGCACCAGGGGTGGGCGACGGGGCGAGGCTAGGTCCCCGCTGGCCAGGTGGGCGGCTCTGCCTAGGGGGACCCGTGACCGGGGACGGTGGAGACCCCAGCCCAGGCGGGGACGGCCGCGCGCCGGGCGCCCGGCTCCCTGCTCCGTGCTCGGGCTTCCGACGGCGCGTCCAGGTGGTTTCTGGGCTCTGGGGAAAGAGAAGCGAATTTCCTTTCCCTGGCGGGGTCTGATGAGAAGAGCTTCGCAGAGGGTTTTTACCTGTGATGTTTCTGAAACTTTGTGAAGTGGCGAAAGGGTGTTAAAAGTGTCCCTTTACTGTGGTGTTTGCAAACCACAATCTACCCAGCTAGGTTTTAGATTTGACTTCTATTTCTTCCAGGTTTTCCTTTGCTATGGTTTTCTTTAGAGGAAGATACTGTGGATGAACTGTGGGCTATAGTGCACACCGATAGACATCTGGGTATAGACAAGATAGATGCCAAGCCAAAACCATTGATTTCTTTAGAACATTTAAAATACAGCATATAAAAGGATTGCTTTTGTAATTGAAATATTATTCTAGTTCTCCCTTTAGGTAGGCAGTTAATAGAAATTTGTTTTCCCTGATTAATATTGTAGAACATAGCCTGGAAAATATTGAGAATTAGCAACAACAACAAAATCCATTTACCAGTTTCATATTTTGATGTGTAACTTCAGCATGGTTAAAAATTGCTTTTTCTGGAAGGAGGGAGTAATGTTGCTTGCCTTTGAGAGCTGGGATATTTGCTTTTTATCATCTCTTTTGTATTTTGTAATTTTTGCTAATGAATATGAGTTACCTTCATAACTGAGGAAGAGGCCATAATACAAATTTATTCTTTGTTTAACCCTTCATGAAAAATTTAAGTATATCTTGTATTTTATTGACTTCATATGAATTATAATTGTGCATTTACGAATAAAACTAATATTGAGAGATTAATTCAGGTGGAGAGAAAATGAGTTTGAGATTCTGGCGGGACATCTGGCATAGCTGTCTAGTGGATATATACCAATAGATATATTGGTATCAGGTTTTCTGAAGTCAAGATCAGACTTACAAATGTTGGAAGCAGCAGTGGATTTGTGGTGGTTAATCCTGTAAGGGTGTAAGAAATCATTCAAGTAAGTATAGTGTAAGAAGAGGGCAAGACCAAGGATGGGGAACACCAGCATTAAGCGATGGGTAGAGACAGCCAAGGAGTCTGAGGAAGAGCATCAGGAAAGGAGGAAATCTAGGGGGCAGTGGTCTCATAGAAGCCAGGAGAGGAGAGTTTTAACAAGGAGAGAAGTCTATCTGGGAGTCAAGAACTGATTACGTGCCTATTGTCTTTGGAAGTTAGGATGGGGGCTTTAACCTCAGCAGACATAATTTAAGTACAGTGTAAGGGTAGAAGCCAAGTTTGAATGAATCTGAGGAGAGAATAGTGATTCTGCACTCACAAGTAAATGTGAGTTTAGAATCCGTATTTTGAGAAACAAAGGTTAGAAGGAGAGGCGATCCATTGATTAGGGAGATGATTAAAAAAAGAAAAGAAAAGAAAAAAGAGAAATAAGGATGATAGACTACCTTTGTGTTATCCATAATAATTACAAATTTTAAAAACGAAGTGCATCATTTCATAACATTGTTCCTCTCTCATGGTTAAGTAGCAGAAGCTGAGAGCAAGAAGCTGAGCATGTTGAAAAGAACTATTCGTGGTAAAGTAGTTATGCCCCGCCCCATCCAAATTATGAACACAATTTTAGTGGTGTTTTGTTTGGTGTATTGAGTTCAGGTGTTATAGTGTTTAAGTCACACATATAAACTGTGTTGGACTCTATTTTACCTGAGTTCCAATATGTTGATGTTCTCAACTTGCTTTTAAGTTATGCGGTTCTTTTACGTATGTCCCAATGGTTCTTCTAAAAATCTTATGTAGAAATCAGGTGTTGGGACTAAAGCAGAATCTGTGAGGCATACATCATTTAGGGCCTTTGCTTCAATTATTATTATGCATTCAGGGGAAAAAGCTCTTAGATTAAAATTTCTGTATAATGAGTTTCACTTCAGTCTTCGTTGAAAGTTTGATTTTTTTTTGTTGCTCAAGAGTTCAGACAAATCATTTTATGAGTATTTTCCTTAGGAATATGAAAAGAATAGTTAAAATGGAAAAGGCTGGCAACCAAGTGTTGATGAGGATGTGGAGCAACTGGAAGTCTCATAATCTGCTGGTGGAAGTGTAAATTGGTGTAGTCATTTTGGAAAACTTTTTGGCATTGTCTGCGAAAGTAAAACATATGCATAAGCTATGCCCAAACATATACCCAATAAAATTCTAGAAAATGCAAACTAATGTGATGGAAAAACACATCAGTGGTTACTTGGGGGTAGGGGAAAGAGAAAGTAAGGAGGGATGGATCCAAAAGGAGTATGAGGAAACTTTAGGGGATGATGGATATATTCATTTTCTTGATGAGATGATGCTTCTACCAATGTGTGTGTATGTATTTATATGTATGTATGTCACTCATTTAATTATACATTTTAAATATGTGAAATTTACTGTAGGTAAATTATACCTCAGTAAAGCTTTAAAACAGATTAAATAAAAATAAAGAATAGAAGAAAGGCACATCATTTAAGTATATTTACCTCCTTCAAATACTATAGTTATTTCAGGGTAATATAATTATGGATAATTTTTATTTTATTCATATAGTTTTCTGAATTTTTAATGTTTTGTACCACAACCATGTATTTATTTACTTCTTAAATGAGAAATTATTTCATATGTGCAAAATAGTACTTTTGACACATCTACAGATTCAGAGAATACAAATAAAATAAATAGCCCCGTGCCTATGTATTGCTTAAGAAATATACATAACCAACATTTTTTGAAGCCAACCTGTGTATTCTCCCTGATTATATCTTTTTCTTTCCACTCTCCTTGATTCTCTATATGGTTTTACCACATGTCTATGCATTCCAAACACTGTGTTGTTTAGTCTACTTTGGAACTCTGTATAAATGATATTCTACTATGTGAATCCTATGGCTTTGCTTTTGCACATTCTGTGAGATTCCTTCATGCTGATGTGTTGTAGTTTGTTCACTTTTTATTGCCGCGCATAATTTCATTGTGTGACTTTACCATTCTTTATCCATTATCCTGCGGATGGATATTTAGGATGTTTTCAGTCTTTTTTTTTATTTTTTTGCTTTTAAATTTAATTTTTACTTTTTTCCATTAAAATCTGTTTTTAAGTGACCCTTCTAACTCATGTCTCTTTGTGTTCATGGTTTTAAAAACCTTCAGTTTTGCTGGAAAACACCGGATTGTTTTATAAAGTGGCTGTACCAGTTTATAGCCTCACAAGCGGGATGTAAGTGTTCATTTTGTTCCCTTTTTCAGCAACATGTAAGACACTTCTACATTCGTAATTACCTGAATTTTTTTTCTTTTAGACAATCGGGTGAGAAATGGTATCCCATTGGGGGTTTAATTTAAATTTCCTTAATTACTGATGATGTTGAACCTTTCATTGTTTATGTTTTGTGGGTGTTTATGTCTTTGGCCATTTTTTTGTTGTTGTTTTTTTACTTTAAAACATAGATTTTTTTTTTTTTTGAGACGGAGTTTTGCTCTTATTGCCCATGCTGGAGTGCAATGGCATGATCCTGGCTCACTGCAACTTCTGCCTCCCGGGTTCAAGCGATTCTCCTGTCTCAGCCTCCTGAGTAGCTGGGATTATAGGTGCATGCCGCCATGCCTGGCTAATTTTTTGTATTTTTAGTAGAGACGGGTTTTTACCATGTTGGCCAGGCTGGTCTCGAACTCCTGACCTCAGGTGATCCACCTGCCTCAGTCTCCCAAAGTGCTGGGATTAACAGGCATGAGCCATTGCACTCGGTCTAAAAATGGATTTCTGTAATAGAAGCTCTTTATATATTCTGGATGTGAATCCCTTGTCAGTTATGCACGTGGCACATTTCTTTTTCTCCAAGTGAGCAGCCTGTCTTTTACTTTCTTTATAGTGTCTTTTGATTAACACGTTTTATATATAGTTGAATATAGTTGACTCTGTCAACTTTTTGTTTTATGGTTTGTGCTTTTGGCATCTTGTTTAACAAATCTTTACCTTCCCTGAGATTATAAAAATATAGTCTGATATTTTCTACTAAAAGCAGGGGGGTATATGGGAAATCTCTGTACCTTCTCAATTTTACTGTGATTCTAAAACTACTCTAAAAAAGAAAATCTATTTAAAAAGTTGCCTTTCATATTTGTGTCCTTAATCCATGTAGAACTGATTTTTGTATGGTGTGAAGTGGGGGTCCAGTTTCTTTTTTTCCCATATGGCTAATCAGTTTTTCCCAGCATTATAGAACTGAATATTCTGTTTTTCATTTCAGTGATCTACAAGTATCATAGATCAAGTTTCCATACATGTGTGGTCGTTTCCAAGCTACTCTTTCTAAAACAGATCTGTTTATGTATCTTACCACAGTCTTATTTACTTTAGCTGTTTAAAGAACCTTGATACTTGAGAGAACAAGTTATCCACCCATGCTTCTTTTAAATTAGACTGCTCCTCAAATTAATGTTTAATTTTTTTCTTTTTAAAAAGTAATAAAATGTGTTATTTAATTCTTAAATATCTACTGTAATCACCTGAAGTCATAAATAATACTGAAGCTACTCTAATGTAGACTATATCAGGCTGCAAATCCTTTCCTAACTTACTAGAATTAATTTTAACTTGAAAAATAAATATAGGATTTGCATTTTGGGAACAGTGTAAGTTGTGAGGTATTGGACAACCTTAGCTGAGAACAGCTAAGAATGCTGTATTTAAAAAAACAATTCAAAAGATAGGAATTAACATGCCAAAATCTAAGAGAAAGCTAAACGTATGAGAGACTAAAGGAGCCTTTAAGTCTTACTTGCCTTGAGAGCATTTGCTAAACAGGGGAAACTTGATGCATTTGAATAGGCACTTGGTATATTTGCATGTCACCAAGGATAGTTGGAAGTCAGCCCAGGGCTCATTCAATGTAGGCTAAGAGGCTAATTCTGGGACCACAAAGGGCTGTGATGTCACGAGAAGGGCGAAAAACTCACTCTACCTCCTTGAAGGGAGTGCAAGGAAAGTTGTCTTGATGCCAGGTAAAACAAGAAAGGAAAAAAATCCTGTCCTTGGGAAGTTGTGACCACCAAACAGACCATGGGGAGAAGTTTTATATTACCTTGGTGGTCAAAAATATTTCAAGATGTAAATTTAAAAAATCATTTCTTTTTTGAGATACTAACATACCATAAAATTCACCCCTTTAAAATGTACAATTCAGTGGGGTTTTTTTTTGTATATTCATTTAGCTGTGCAACTATCACTATATAATTCTAGAACACTCTTGTCACCCTCCTAAAAAAACCTTGTACCCATTAGCAGCCATTCCCCATTTGCCTCTTCCTTCTCAGTCACTGGCAACCACTAATCTGTTTTCCATTTCTGTGGATTTGCCTATTCTGGCCATTTCATGTAAATGGAATCACACAATATGTGGTCTTTTATGTCTCACTTCTTTCTTAGCATAATGTTTTCAAGATTTATCTGTGTTGTAGTGTGAATCAGTACTTCATTTGTTTTTATGGTTGAATAGTATTCCATCATATGGCTGTATACCACATTTTGTTTTCTCATTCATCAATTGATGGACATTTGGATTTGTTTCTACTTTTTGGCCATCATGAATACTGCTGCTGTGAACATCTGTGTAAAATGTTTTTGTGTGGAAATATGTTTTCTATGCTCATAGGTATATTTACTTAGGATTAGAATTCCTGGGTCATATGGTAGCTCTGTGTGAAGTGTTTGAGGAATTGCCAAAGTGTTTTCCAAAACAGCTGCACCATTTTACATTCTCATAAGCAATTTATGAGGGTTCCAGTTTCTCTACAGCCACACCAACACTTATTTTTTGTCTGTCTTTTTGATTAGTGTGTGTGAAGTGGTATCTCATTATGGTTTTGATTTGCATTTTCCTAATGATCAGTGGCATTGAGCGCTTCTTAATGTGTTTATTGGCCATTTGTCTGTCTTCTTTGCAGGAATGTCTAATTCTTTTGTCCATTTTAGAATTGGGTTATTTGTCAACGCATGAATTGAAAATGGTCTGGTAAACAAATGCAGATATTCTCTGGAGTATACTTTCATTTTTAGCTTAAAAAGTTCTACCAGTACAGTTTCATGGTCAATGAATAATTCATTGTCAAAGATAACCAGCTGTACAAGGAAGTAGGACATCCTGAGCAAGAATTGGCAGAATGATAGAACCTCGAAATAAACCTACAAAAGCTTGAAAAACCAGTCATAGATCATTAAGATAACTATACTGGGCTGAGTTTAAGTAAATAAAAGACAGATTTAAAGATATGTTCAGAGATCAGGAGTCTAAAAAGTGACAGAGCTACACAGCAGGTTGAAAAAAGAACTAAATGTAATTTCTACTAATGAAAAATGCAGTAATAAAACTCATCTTTCAGCTTAACTACTAATTAGGAAATTAGATGTACTCCACAAAGAGATTGAATGAACTGGAAGATAGAATAAATCATTCAGAATATAACTCAAAGAGACAGAAATGGAAAATATAAAAGAGGTGAAGAGACATGGAAATTAGAGTGATCAGAGTGAGGAATTATAGTGAGAAAGTCTAATAAACTAGAATTTCTGCAAGAAAAGAAAGAGAAAAGAAATGGGCAAAAACAATATTTAAAGAGATAATGAATGAGAATTTTTCAGTACTGAGGAAAGACACCAATCCGTATATTCAAGAATCTCAATGAATTTCCAGCA
Organism: Homo sapiens; assembly: GCF_000001405.40. Lineage (NCBI taxonomy): Eukaryota > Metazoa > Chordata > Mammalia > Primates > Hominidae > Homo > Homo sapiens. Next base: position 296,956 of record NT_187598.1, on the reverse strand, counting down.
AGAAAAAGTACATACTTAGAAACATCACAGTGAAATGAAGAAAACCAAAGGCAAAGAGAAAAATCTTAACATTACTTTAGGGCCTAGACAAAAGATTTTTTTTTTTTTTTAAAAGAACAGTGGTTATGCTAGCAGCTGCCTTCTTTATAACAATGGTGGGACAGAAGACAATGGAATAAGATATTTTTGTCTTAAAGAAAATAGCTTATAATTTAGAATTCATAACCAGAGGAAATATCTTTAAGAATGAGAGTAATACAGGGTGATGATCAATGGTTGCTAACACTGTTAAAAAATAAAAGCTGAACATTATGTACCTACAACCTATGTAGTAGTCTTACTAAAAATAAAAAGTCAAACCTAAAAATCTGTATTAAGTTATAGATTGAACTATAATTTTACAGAAAAATAGGCAGAGATTTGCTGAATGACACCATGGGAATGCAATCAGCAAAATCCTATTATGATAAACTCTATTGGGTAAGAGACCTGGTTTCAGCATCAGAATACTTTCAAGGAAACTTGTAGATTAAAGGAGATTTAAGAAATATTTAAACCTATTTCACTCAAATAAGCTATACAAAATTATAGGAAAATTGGGGAAATGTGAATACTAATATGAGGAAATTATAGATTTTTCTGAAAGTGTGATGGTACTGTAGTTGCATTAAAAAAGAGATATATAATATAAATATAAACATAAATGTAAAGTTATATTTGGTATTAGATGTTCTTCAATATTGTCTTTTAGAGATACATACTGAAATATTAGAGATGCATACTGAAATATTTACAGATAAAATTATATCTTGATTTTTGTTTTCAAAATTTCTGGAAGTGGGAGGATATTGTGGAAAAAAGTTTGACTATGAGTTGATAATAATTAAAGCTAGATAATGTGTCCATGTGGATTTATTTTATATTTGCTATACTTTTGTATATTATTGATACTTTTCACAAAAAAATATAAAAATCAGGGACATTTTCAGATCAGCAACAACAGAGGGTTTTCTACCAACATACCTTCACTAAAGTAAATCATAAAGGATATTAGCAAGAAGAATGTGATTGTACATGAACAGTTGGCGATGCAAGAAAGAATGAAATGGAAGGAATGTAAGAAGGAATGAAGTGGAAAGTAATTGGTGAAATATGTTTGTAAATACAAATGAACACTAATTTTACAAAAGAATAATAATGTTTTGTGGGGTTTTAACAAGATAGAATCAAAATATGTGCAATGATGACATCATGCCTAAGTCACACATGGATTGATTGGCATGTAAAGGAGCTAAAAGTCTTTTAATAGTCCTTTTACTATGCAACAGGAGAATATAAAAGGACTAACTTTAGACTTTGACATGTTAAGTGTGTGTATTAAAACAACCAGAGTGACTATTTAAATAAAAGGAAATTGAGTTTATAAAATTTATAGTATACAGAATAATGGCCTCACAAAGATTACCATGTCCTAATTCCCAGAACCTGTGAATGTTACCTCACATGGAAAAAGTGACTTTACAGATGTGATTTAGGATTTTGAGATGGGGAGATTATCTTGGATTATGGAGTATCCAGGTTGGCCTAATGTAATTGCAAGAGTCTTTATAAATGAAAGAGAGATTGTAGGAGATTCGGAGTTAGAGAAGATGTAACAATGGTAGCAGGGGTCAGGGAGACTGGAAGATGCTGTCTTGTTGGCTTTGAAGTGGAGGAAGGGGCCATGAGCCAAGGAATGCAGGTTTCTTCTAGAAACTGGAAAAGGCAAAGGAATGGAATTTCCCATAGAGCCTCCAGAAGTAATGCAGCCCTGCCAACACCTTGATTTTAGCTCAGTGAAACCCATTTCAGACTTCAAACTTCCAGAACTGTAAGATAGTAAGTTTATTTAAAGCCATTAAATTTGTGGTAATTTGTTGCAACAGCAATAGGAAAGTAATACAATATCCAAGCTATTGGAGGGAAAAAAATGAAGATCATAAACACTTAGTCAATCCAAGGAAGGATGAAAGGAAAGAAACAGAGAACAAGTAGGACAAATAGAAAGCCCAGGATAAAATATAGGTTTAAATTCATATATATATCAGCCAGTTATCTTAAATATAAGTGGAATAAATATTACAGTCAAAAGACAAAGATTGTTTATCTGGACTAAAACACTTTAACTAAATGCTATTTATAAGAGACATATCTAAAACATGAGGAGACAGAAAGGTTGGTAAACAAATGGAAACAGTAAACAGAAAAAGATATTCCATACAAATGCTTTCTAAAAGAAAGCTGCATAGCTATAACTATCAGACAAAATTGTTTTCAGGGTAAAAGCATTTCTAGAAATTAAAAAGTTACCATAATGATAAGAGATTTAAATCACCAATATGTTAAAACAGTTTTAAATCTTTATGACTGGACTAAATACAGTTAAAATACAAATAAATACAAAGATTGTCAGAGTGGATAGTAGAACACAATCTAACTACATACTACTTATAAAAGACACCTTGAGCATAACACAGAAAGGTTGAAAAGAAAATGATGGAAAGAAGATATAACATGCAAATATTAACTGAAAGAAATTCTAGTTATATCAGACAAGCCAACATTAAGGCTTCTAGAAGTATTACTAAAGATTGAAAGGGAGATTAATAAATTTATATGTACCTCATAAATTAGAATAAAAATATATGAAACAAATCTGATAGAACTAAAAGGAGAAATAGATATATCCACAGTCATAGTTGGAGTTTTCTTTTTAGATGCATCTCTTTTAGTACTATATAAAACAAGCAGAAAAAAAAATCAATAGAGATACATATTTTTTTCCTGCTTTTTTTTTTTTTTTCAGACAAGGTCTCACCCTGTCACCCAGGCTGTAGTGCAGTGATGCGATCACGGCTTCCCACAGCCTCCACTTCTTGAGCTGAAGTGATCCTCCCACCTCAGCTTCCCGTGTAACTGGAACTACAGGTATGCACTACTATGCCTGGCTAATTTTTTAATTTTTTGTAGAGATAGGGGTCTCCCTATATTGTACAGGCTGGTCTTGAACTCCTGGACTCAAATGATCCTCCTGCCTCGGCCCCCACAAAATACTGGGATTTACAGGCATGAGGCACTATGCCCTGCCAAGATACAGAAGATTTTAACATGACCAACGAATTTGATTTAGTGATGTACATGGAACATTGCACCTCAAAGTTGCAAATGTACATGGAACATTTATTAAAATTGATGATATACTATGAATATCATTGATTGTATACAATTTCTCTGATCACAGTGGAATTCAGCTACAAATCAATATCAATAAGATAGCCAGGAAATCTAAATTAAAGAAAAACAAAAGAATAAGACAGATGGAGAACTGAAATAGGGCTTTGTTATTAATAAAGCTAATTTAGATATGGCATGTATCTGCAGGCAAGTAGGTTTTCTAATACAGACAAATCTTTCTCAAAGAAACTAGAGACAGCAAGAAGCATTCCTACCCTAACGTAGTTCAAAGGTGCAAAAGTAAAAAAGAGAATGGTGTGTTTCTAGCACATCAGGTAGTTATATTTTGAAGCTTGGTATTTGCAGAAGGAAGTAGTGGAAGATGAGCAAGAGAAGGGTCACATATTGTATTTAGCAGAATAAATTTTATCCTGAAAGTGATAGAGAGATATAGCATTACTTAAAGCAGACGAAGGACCTTAGCAGCACAGTGGGGGGATAAAAAGAATTTGAAAGGCAAACCTATTAGCTGGCTCTCTGTAATTTGGGGTATCATAACATCTGAATCAAAATAGTCAAATTGAGAATAGAAAGGAAGGTGTGAAAATTACAAGGATGGCCAGGCGCGGTGGCTCACACCTGTAATCCCAGCACTTTGGGAGGCCGACGCGGGTGGATCACGAGGTTAGGAGTTCAAGACCAACCTGGCCAAGATGGTGAAACCCCGTCTCTACTAAAAATACAAAAATTAGCCGGGCATGGTAGCGGGTGCCTGTAATCCCAGCTACTCAGGAGGCTGAGGCAGGGAATTGCTTGAATCCGGAGGCGGAGGTTGCAGTGAGCCAAGATCGCACCACTGCACTCCAGCCTGGATGACAGAGCGAGACTCCATCTCCAAAAAAAAAAAAAAAAAAAAAAAAAAGAAAAGAAAAAGAAAATTACAAGGATTAAGGGGCTCTACTCAACAGAATTCTAGCCCTTGCCTATTTCACAGTTCACCTGCTAACTACTCTTTCTGTTGCTTAGTACCTTGCAAAATAATGCAAAGTGGGTACAACTCAAGATTTTTGCAATTTCTGGAATGCTCCACCATCAAGAACTTTGCTAGCTGATCCTTTCTTGTGTTTATGTTCCAGCTGGATTGTTACCTCCTCAGAGAAGTCTTTTCTGATTATACAAAGTTAACATTCATTCCTTTTGAATCCTGGTTAATTTTCCTCATTGGATTGAATGTATCATGTGTTTGTTTATTTTTCTGTTTATCTCCCTCCTCTGTTGTAAGCGCTCCAAAAGCTTGTCTGTCTTGTTCCCTATTTTGTCTTCAGTGCCTAGCAAATTGCCTAGTACATAGTAGATGCTCAATAAATGCTTGTAAGTGAATGGATGAATTGGATGTGTGGATTTTGGGAGCAGAAGGACTCAAGAATGGCACTTGTATTTCTGGCTTAGTTAATTAGCTGGATAGTGGCACTGTAGTAGGAAATACCAGAGGAAAAGCAGGTTTGCAGGGGAAAGTCGTGATGATGTACTGTCCTTTATTTGTGAGAATACCATAGACAGGCTGTTCCTAGACTATGTCAGACCAGCAGAGGCAAATAAGCCCTTTGGGAATCTCAAAAGGAAGTGATATTAAAAGTATTTTAACAACTTGTCGTGCATGAGCACTGACTGTAATATTGGAGCAGAGTCATGGAGGCCCCTGCTTTTTCAGACATTTACCTCAGGGGTGCCTAGGGAGGAGTTAAAGTGACTAGGGTGTTTATAGCTTTTATCTATTGATATGGAAGTATTTAAGTCTTTTTACAATCTGTCCTCATACTAGAATGTTCTAGCTAAATGTCCCCATATCATTTCTGGCATTGGGTAAAGTGCCTAGCATGAATCAGATCTGTTGTAAGTGGGATCTGATGATAATAAATATAATAATGATGCCGCTGATGACAGCAAACATTTATTCTTAAAACAGCCCTACCACTAGTTTTATACTTTATGTGCATTACTTTGGTTGATCATCACAATAGCCCTAAGAAGTGTTTTGTTGTTGTTGTTGTTGTTGTTTTTTAATTGATGAAGAAGTTGAAGGTTAAAAAGGTTAAGTAACAGATTTAAGGTCATATAGCTAATAAGTGAAAGTTACAGGATTGGAACATAGGCAGTATACTTTTAACCATTTATATTTGTTTCTCCTTGTTGCTAAAAAAGCAAACATGTGGCTATGTAGATAGCCAGCACATAGTCTGTTAACCTGACTGGTCCTGCCCTTCTACCCATACCCTACCTAAAGCAATGTGGTGTATTAGAAAAAGTTGTGAAGCTTAGGGTTTGGTTCTAAACCTAACATTATCTAGTTGCTTGACTCATTATTTTCTTTGGGTAAAATTAGAAGGACTTTGATAAAATGATTTCTTTTTTCTTTTTTTTTTTTTTTGAGATGGAATTTTGCTCTTGTTGCCCAGTCTGGAGTGCAATGGCGTGATCTCGGCTCACTGCAACCTCCGCCTCCCGGGTTCAAGTGGTTCTCCTGCCTCAGCCTCCTGAGTAGCTGGGATTACAGGCATGTGCCACCATGCCCAACTAATTTTTTATTTTTAGTAGAGATGGGGTTTCTTCAGGTTGGTCAGGCTGGTCTCGAACTCCCGACCTTAGGTGATCCACCCGCCTTGGCCTCCCAAAGTGCTGGGACTACAGGCATGAGCCACCATGCCTGGCCCCTGATAAAATGATTTCTAAGCCTTCGGCTCTGCTAATGTTTTTGAGGCCTCTTTTTCTGTTAATGTTCTGTAATTCTACTTATGTATTATTTTTTCAGGTTTATTGAGGTCTAATTGATATGTAGTAAGTTACATATACTTGAAATCGATAATTTGATGTTTTCATGTTTTCATGTATGTATGTACCTATGAAACCATCACCACAGTCAAGATAATGAGTATAGGCTCGGCACGGTGGCTCATGCCTGTAATCCCAGCACTTTGGGAGGCTGAAGCAGGCGGATCACGAGGTCAGGAGATCGAGACCATCCTGGCTAACACGGTGAAACCCCGTCTCTACTAAAAAATACAAAAAATTAGCCATGCGTGGTGGTGGGCACCTGTAGTCCCAGCTACTTGGGAGGCTAAGGCAGGAGAATGGCGTGAACCCAGAAGACAGAGCTTACAGTGAGCAGAGATCACGCCACTGCACTCCAGCCTGGGCGACAGAGCGAGACACTGTCTCAAAAAAAAAAAAAAAAAAGATAATGAGTATATTACCCCCACTCCAAAGTTTCCTCCTGCCCCACCAAGTCCTTCCTTTCTGTCCCTCTCTGTGCTTCATCTCCCCACTCCTCACTGTCCCGAGGCAGCCTCTGATCTACTTTTTGTTACTATTGATTAATTTCCATTTTCTACAATTTTATATAAATTGAATCATGCAGTGGAGTTCAGCTACAAATCAGTATTAATAAGATAGCTAGAAAAGCCAAATTAAAGACAAAATAAGAACTGAAATATGACTTTGTTATTAATAAAGCAAATGCAAGAGAATATGGCACATATCTGTATGGCACATACTCTTTTTGTTGGCATTCTTTTGCCCAGCATAATTATTTTGAGATTCATCCATATTGTTGCATGTTTAACCAGCTTACTTCTTTATTTCTGAGTAGTGTTCCATTGAGCCACAGTTTGTTTTCTAAATGGATTAATCTGTTGATAGATACTTGATAGTTTTCAATTTTTGGCTATTTTGAATAGATTTGCTATGAACACCAGTGTACAACTCTTTGTGTAAACATGTGATTGCTTTTTTCTTAAGTAAATATGTAGTAATGGCATGTCTGGATCATGTAGCAGGTATATGTTCAACTTTAGAAACTTGTCAAACTGTTTTCTAAAGTGGTCATGCCATTTTACAGTCCCACCAGTAGAATAGGAGAATACTACTTGTCACATATCATAAACATTTGGAATGGTCAATCTTTGTAATTTTATCCTTTTTAATCAATGTATATTGTTGTCTTTTTATAGTTTTAATTTGCATTTTCCTAATCACTAACTGTGTTGAGCATGTTTTCATGTGCTTTTTGGCCACTTGTAGATTTTTTTGGAGAAGTGTCTTTTCAAATCTTTTGCCTATTTTTTAATTGGGTTATTTTTCTTTTTATTATTAAGTTGTAATAGTTTTTTATATATGCTGGATATAATCCATATTTTATTGGATGTGTGATATGCAAATATCTTCTCTCAGTCTCCGAGTGGTCTTTTCACTTTGTTAATGGTGTCTTTTAAAGCACAAAGTTTTTAATTTCAATTAAATCTAGTACATCAAATTTTTCTTTGATCATGTGTGCTTTTGGTGTTGTGTCTAAGAAATTACTGCCTAACCCAAGTTTACAAAGATTTACTCCTATGTTTTCTTCTAAGAGTTTTGAAGTTTTAACTCTTACATATAGGTGCATAATCAGTTTTGAGTTAGTTTTTGTATATGGTGGGAGGCAGGGATCCAATTTTTTTTTTTGTGGGAAGGGCATGTGGATATAATGTGGATATAAATATTGATATTCAGTGTCCTAGCACCATTTGTTGAAAACACTATTTCTTTCCCTTTAAAATTTCTTGGCACCTTTGTTAAACATCAATTGACTATAAATGTAAGGGTGTATTTCTGGGCTCTGAATTTAATTCTATTGATTTATTTATCTGTCCTTATACTAATATTATATTGTCCTGATGACTAGTTTTGTAGTAAATTTTGAAGTTAGTCTTTCCACTTTGTTCTTTTTTTTTCCCCAAGATTGTTTTGGCTATTCTGCACCCTTTACGTTCCCATATGAGTTTTAGGATCAGCTTGTCAATTTCTGTAAAAAAGCTGGAAGGGATTTTGGTAGAGATTGTGTTGAATCTGTAGATCAATTTGGGGAGTATTGCCACCTTAGCAATATTAATAATATTACCATTTTAATGATATTACATCTTCCAATCCATGAACATGGGATATCTTCACAAGTATTGAGCTCTTCTTTAATATCTTTCAGTAATGTCTTGTGGTTTGCAGTGTATAAGTCTTGTACTTCATTTCTTAAAGTATTTGTATTTTAAGTTTTTAAAAATGTTATTATGAATGGAATTGTTTTCTATTTCATTTTTGGAGTGTTCATGGTTAGTATATAGAAATGCAATTAACTTTTGTATATTTCTCTTATATCTTGCAACCTTAGTGAACTTCTGGTAAGTTTGTTAGTGAATTTCTTAGATTTTTTTTTTTTATTTACAAGATCTTGTTGTCTGTGAATGAAGAGTGTTTTACTTCTTGATTTCCAAGATGAATGCCTTTGACAAAATATTTTTAGCCTAATTGGCTTAGCTAGAATCTCAAATATAGTGTTGAATAAAGGTAGAGAGAGTAGAAATCTTTTTTTTTTTTCCTGGCTTTAGAGGGAGACTTTCAATCTTTCACCAGTTCCTGTGATGTTAACTATAGATTTTTTCATAGATGCTGTTTATTATTATGTTGAAAGATTCTCTTCTATTCTCAGTATTTTTATCACGAATATTGGATTTTGTCAAATTTTTGTATCTATTGAGATTATCCTATAGTTTTTGTCCTTTATTCTGTTAATATGATGCATTACATGAATTGATTATCAGATGTTAAACTAATCTTGCAATCCTGGGATAAATCTTGCTTGGTTATGATACATAAATCTTTTATACGTTTCTGGATTTGGCTTGCCAGTATTTCATTGAGGATTTTGGGTGTATGTTCTCAAGGGGTATCCATCCTTTTATTTTTAACTTATTTGTATTTAAAATGTTTCTTGTAGGCAGCATATACTTGTATCATACTTCTTTATCCAGTCTGGCAATTTCTGCCTTTTAATTGGCATATTTTAAAGTATTCACACTTGTGATTCTTGATATAATTAAGTTCAAATCTATCATCTTGCTATTTGTTTTCTACTCATCCTATCTGTTCTTTGTTCCCCCTTTCTTTTTCTGCTTTCTTTTATTAATTGAGTATTTTAAAATTATTCCATTTTATCTCCTTTGTTGGCTTATAAGCTGTAACTCTGTTTTCTTATTTTAGTGGTTGTGTTAGGGTTTATAGTATATATCTTTAACTTTCTACAGTCAGTCCTCAAATGATATGATACCACATCACATATACTATAATTATTTACATTTTTACTTTTATTTCTCCCCCGGCCTTTGTGCTATTGATGTAATACATTTTAGTTTTACATATGTTACAAACCTTTTGTCTCAGTATAATTTTTTTGTCTAAGCTTTAATAAACTTGTAAAGAAATCCCAATAATAATAAATCATGTATTTATACTTATGGTGCACTTTATTCCTTTGTGTAGATTCATATTTCTATCAGATATTATCCTTTGGCCTGAAGGACATCATTTAACACTTCTTGTGGTGTAGCTCTGTTGGTAATATGTTCTTTCAACTTTTGTATGTCTGAAGAAGTCTTTATGTCACCTACATTTTTGAAAGATTTTCTCTGAGTGTCAAATTCTAGGTTGATGGGTTTTTTTCTTTCAGTACATTAAAGATCTTGCTCTACTGTTTTTGTTTTGTTTCCATTGAGAGCTATGCTACTATCCTTTTTAATTAATTAATTAATTTTTTGAGACAGAGTCTCTCTGTGTCACCCAGGCTGGAGTGCAGTGGCATGATCTCAGCTTATTGCAGCCTCTGCCTCCCAGATTCAAGTGATTCTTATGCCTCAGCCTCCCGAGTAGCTGGGATTACAAGCACACACCACCATGCTCAACTATATGCTGCTATTCTTAATCTTTGCTTTGATGTACATAACATGTCTTTTTTCTCTGGGTGCTTTTAAGATTTTCCCATCACTGTTTTTGAATGATGTTATTATGGCGTGGTGTGCATTGGTGTAGTTTTCTTCATGTTTCCTGACCTTAGTGTTGGCGGAGGTTCTTAGATCTGTGGTTTGTAGTTATCAAGTTTGGAAAATTTTGGCCATTATTTCTTCAAATATGCCCTCCCCCCTATCCCCAGTCTTCTTTGTGGACTCCAAATACATGTATTTTGGGTCACTTGAAATTGTCCCATGAGTCACAGATGCTTTTTATCATTTTGATGTTAGTCTTTTCTCTGTGTCTCATTTTAGTTAGTTTATCTTACTATGCCTTCAAGTTCATTAATATTTTCTTTTGCAATATCCAATCTGGTATTAATCCCATCCAGTATATTTTCCATCTCAGACATTATAGTTTTCATCTCTAGAAATTGGATTTGGGTCTTTTTAATATCGTCCATATCTCTACTTAACCTTTTGAACATATTGAGTCCAGCTATAACTATTTTAGTGTCCTCAACTGCCTTGTCTCAATTTTAGGTTGTTTCTAATTGATTGATTTTTTTTTCCTCTTCATTATGGGTTCTATATATTTTTTTGCTTCCTTGTATACCTGGTACTTTTTTTAATTGAATACCAGACATTGTGAGTTTTACCTTGAATGCTGGATATTTTTGGATTTCTGTAAATTTGCTTTGGGACACAGTTAAGTTTTGTGTAAACAATTTGATCCCTTTTCCAGTCTGATTTGTGGGGACAAGCATCACTCCTGACCTTGGTGAATACCAGTTATGTATAGTTTTTGTAAATTTTTCTGGTGTTTTTTTCCCGCAGTCTTGTGTAGCTTCCTTTTTTTGTGTGTGTGCTGATCAGTACTCTGTTGAATACTTGAGTGGGACCCTCTGCTGATCTCCATTGTTCTCTGTATGTACCTCTTTATTCTACAGTAGTCTGTTATGCAAACTCTCGCTGCCTTATTCTCCACATACTTTCAGCTTTGTCTCTTCATTTCAGAAAATCTTCTCGGCTTTGCTTGGGTAATTTCCCATGGCCTGGAAACTCCCTCAAGGGAGTAAGGTGGAAGGCTTACCTCATTTAGTTCCTATTTCTCAGTTCTTTGCTGTCTGATAGCCAGTGTCTTGAAAATTGCTGTTCCATATATTTTATTTGCTTTTCAGGTGGTAGGATAAATCTGTCTCTGTTACTCTATTTTGTACAAAAGTAAAATATCCATGTGTTTTTTAACTGTCTTTCCTGTAGTGTATTACTGGGTGTTCATTTTAATTAGATTTCACATTTCATTCATATAAACTTTTCTCTCTTTCTACTACCTTCCTCCATCTTCCCCAACTCATTTTGGATGACTCAAGGCCATCAATGTTGAGGACTTTTCCCCCTGAAGTAGCAGTCATTTTTAACCAATTCTACCACATTCCTGTCATGGTTAATGTTAAATATTTGCAAACTGATTGGGGTCAGAGATGTGGTTTGATGAATATATTCTTAGTTTTTATGGGAGATAGTTGTACTTTGTTTCCTTATCTATCAACTAGGTATTTGCTGAGTTCCAATTATATTCCCAGCATCATGTAGTGTGCTGAGTGCTAAGCAGAAAGTGAGTACAATATTGTTTTTGAGCAGTTTATGTTCTAACAGGGGAGACAGAACAAGATCTCATAAAATGTTAAGAAAAATGTTAAACTTTTTTTTTTTAAAGACACTAGACATTTAGAGATGAGAGACTATTCGTTTGATTTGGGTGGTTACGGAGTATTTTACTCTGATATGCTGGGGCTGAACAGGGCCTTTGAAAACGCATACATTTTAAAAATGGAAATAGTCACAAGATGTAATGGAAGAGAAGATACCATTTATGATAGCCAAGCAAATTATACAGGCATACACTTAATGAGAAATCTTCAGAATTTTTATGAGAACTCTAAAAACTCCTAAAGGTATAAGCATAAACTTGAACAAATATAAAGATATACTATGTTCTGTGTAGGAAGACTCAATATTCTTAGAGATGTCAGTTTTAAAAAAATAATTTAGAAGTTTAATATGATCCTGATGAAAGTACCATCAGATTTTTCCTCCTAGGGCTAGACAGATTATAAAGTTCATTTTCGAGAACAGACAAGCAAGAATAGCTAAGAAAATGCAGAAAGTGAAGAGGGGTAAAGATGACTTGTCTTGCTACATGTTATAACATGATATAAGAATTTAAGATTAAAATGATATACCATTGGTACAGGAATAGACAGAACAATTGAAGAGAATAGAAAATACACAATAAACCCAATTGCATATGGAAATTTAATGTGTACTAAAGGGAGCATCCTGTAAGTGGAGAAAATATGGAATTTTTAATATGTGGTGTTTGTGCTAATGAGATAGCGAATTGGGAAGAGGAAAGTTTGAATCCATTTCTCATACTGTATAACAGGATGTCAGTATAGAAAATAATACTGTACTAAGTACTGGAAGAAAACATGGGTAAATTATTTTATGATTTGTATAACACACACACTTTGGCATAGCAGAAACACCATAATCAAAGTAAAAAGATAAATGACAAACCAGAAGGATGTTTGCCACTTGTATAATGGACAAAGTGTTAATCTCTCAAATATCTAAAGAGCTTCAAAAACTGGAGAAGAAAAAGACCAACAGCTTTATGAAAATGTCGGCAGGAGACAGTGAATAGAATTCATATAAACAATTACAGATTAATCTTATATGACAAGAAGCTCAACATCACTTATAATAAGAGAGATATAAATTAAAACAACACAGTATATCATTTCTTTCCTATCACACTGGCAAAAGTCCATGGTATTAAGCATCAGTTTGACAGTGTATTTTGTTGGTAACAGAAAAAGGTACTCTTACATATTGCTATTGGGAATGCAAAATGGTGTGCTTCAGAGAGAATTTTGGCAATACAAGCAAAATTACACATATACACCTTTTGGCCCCATAGTCTTATCTCTAGGAATCTATCTTACAGATATATACTGAGAAATATCTGAGAAATATGTGTGCACAAAGCTACTGTGGCACTACTTCTAATAACAAAAGATGAAACAATTTAAAATTTGATCTGAATTTCAACAAAACAACTATACAAATTGAGACCATAGGGGAAATTTGAACAGTGAACAAGTAGTTGATGACATTAATTATTTTACACATGATAATACTATTATGGTTATGTTTAAAAAGAGCAACATTTTAGAAATGTTTGATATGTTACCATTCATTACAGATACTGTTTGTATTAATACTTGAAATGATTCACCTTCAGCCAGTGAGAGCCCCTTGAAGTTAACTCCTAAGTCCTTTGCCACATCTTTTGGAGATCATTATTTATGTGTTTATGGATGAAATTATATGATTAGAATTTATTTCAAAATAATCCAAAGGACAGGGTATATGGGGAGGCAGAGATGAAATAAGATTTGCCATGAGTTGATAATTATTTTAATCTGAGTGATTAGGGTTTTGTTATACTTCTTCGCATATGTTTAAAACCTCCTGTGAAAAACGTATGGAGTTTAAGTAGGCATAAATGAAGGCAGTGCATTTAGAACAAAGGCACTGAGACCAAGGACAATAGGAAATTGGACATGAAGTTCTTATACAATTTAATTTCCTGGTAAATGTAAAATAGACTTCCTTTATTTGCTCTATATCTTATTTGTGGTGTCTTTTTGTGTGTATGTGATGTAGTGCTTAAGGTATACTTTTCTATTAGTATAACTCTAAAGATTAAAATAATTCATGAAGTATGCAGTTTATTTGTTTATTGGTGCCCATTATAGGGCCTTTGAATTACCAGAATAATTGATCTGGAGGAAGTGAATGTTTTCTCACACTTTTTATGGGGTGCCATGTTTTCTTTTAACTTTTGCTTGAACATAGATTTAGATAGATCAGGTGAAAGAGAAAAATTGTTTTAGTTATACTATATGTGTATTTATTAGAGTATAATAATGAATAAACTTTCCTTTAAGATACTTAGTTTCTTTATCAGCTTTTTAATTTCATCTCCATTTCTCCTAGTCTGTTTTTATTTATCCCTGTGTTCTCCTACCTCTCTAACCCTGTCTCCTTTACCACTCTTTACTTTTTTTTAAATATGCTTTTTCTTTACTTTTCAAATTGAACAAATTGTATGTATTTATTGTATACAATGTGATGTTTTGAAGTGCCTATACATTGTGAAATGATTAAATCTAGCTTACATCTGCATTACCTGACATAGTTATTTTTGTGGAGAGAACAGTAAACATCCAGCCTTAGCATCTCTCAAGAGTACTGCAGATCTTCATTAGCTATATTCACATGGAGTAATGCTATTCAACCTATTTCTCTTATCAAAACTAATTTTGTATTCTTTGACCAATGTTCCTAAATTCACTCTGCTTCTCTATCTCAATCTTTTTCCCCTTTTCTCATCTTTCCTCCTTTTTTCAGTTTCTAACTTTCACTGTTTCTTTGAATGTTTTTTCTTTTCATCTCTTTTCTTTTACATTTTGTGTTTTCCCCTCTCCTTTTCTTACCTCTTTCTCCATCCTTCTTTTTCTTTGATTTGTCTGCCCTTTTATACTTCTCATCTTGCTGTCATCTTCATTTCTCCTTCCCTCTCTCTCCGCTTCATTCTACTCTTCTCCTCTTTATTTCTTTTCTCTCTCTGTGCCTCAGCTCACTCTGTCTCTCCTGCTGTCTAGTCTCCACTCTCTATTTCTAGGTTTGCCCTTGACTTTTTTTTTTTTTGACCTTTCCCTTTTCATCTCCCTTCCCAAACATTTCTTCCTAATTCTATGTGCTCTTGTCTTAGGTTTCTTGCTGTTTTATCAGCACATGTCCTAGTTTACCTCTTTCTTTTTTCTTCTTTCTCTCTTTTTTTCTTTGTTTTTCTGTATTTCTTCCATGTTGCTCTTCTTTTTCCACACTGTCCCTTCTCTCTCTCTCTCTCTCATAAACACACCCCTCTTGTTACTCTATATCTCTTCACTCAATCTTCCATCTTATTTTTCGTGAAAGAAAATTAAGAATGGAATTTTTCTTTTTTTTTCCAGATTTTAACATTGAGATTGTTCATTTAGTAATTTTTAAACATAATTTTAATAACTTACAAATAAGTTATACAGAATTTCATATGGTTACAAAAATCTATCTTCCTCAAGTATTTTTGCTTCAGAATCCTCATTATGTCTTAGAAAGACAGATAATGTGGTTTATTTAGTAATATCTAATGGTATTAAGCATGACAAGCAGGTTAACTTGTTTTCTATTCTACCAACAGATTAATATTAAGATTGGAAGTTTGTGTCTTTTGCTGGATATTGGAAATTGAATGTAATGGCAACAGAATTTATAAAGAGTTGCTGTGGAGGATGTTTCTATGGTGAAACAGAAAAACACAACTGTGAGTTTTATTTTGACTTCAGTAACATTTATGTAGCATCTTCTTCATTTGTGGCATTTTGTAATATAAAGAATTAGGCATGTTTTCCAACTTCTTAGGGGAGGCAGAAACATAAGGCACACTAAGTAAATATTCCATAACTTCAAGTAGTCTGGAGCATAGGGGAGAGAGAGAGTAATTCAACCCAGGGGATTCGTAAGATATTACCATAAAGAAAATTGCATTTGCTATGGAAATCTGAATAGGATTTTAGCAAGTTGGGTGGGAAGAAGGAAGAGAAACTGAAAATTGGACATGGGCATTACAGGTGGATGAAATAGTACAGGCAAAGACAGGGAGGGAAGAGAAGTATGTTTGGGAGACAACATATTCTGACCAATGTTTTGATTTAAATAAAGACAATCTACAATATGTGTATAACATTAAAAATGCCTTGAATGAATGAATGACCAATGGGGAAGAGACTCATAACTATGAAGACTCACATTTATTAAGGACCCCTGGAGAGTTCTTTTTCTATTGCATGGCTCCCTTATCTCTTCTCTGGCACTTTTATTTCCTAATCTACAGCAGAGCTTCATAGTATATTTGAGTATGAAGCCTTCTTTTTTACATTAAAACATTTCATAAATTTCTACAGAATAGTACTTGTACTTTCAGTCTACAGATAGCATTATATATATATAAAGAATAACTTACCTCCCATCTTAAATCATGTAGCTTAGGAATCACATATGATTCTAAAGAATGAATAAAATGGGTCATAGAAGCTACGACTGGGGTAGCTGCCAGCAACAAAAGAATTGCTTTTGTTGACAGTAGTTTTAAATGACTAGATTTTTACTTGAAAGCACTATATAACTGACTACAAAATAAAATTGTTTTCCATCTATGAATTCTTTTGGGAATAAGACTCTTTAAAGCTGCTTTTACCATTATGATAAGTTAATGCACTTTAACAGTAGTGTATTAATTGCTCAAATATCGTCTGGACAAAATTAATGTAGATTCCAGAAGTGTTTGGTAAGACCCAAGAGTAGTTTATGTGTCAGGAATTTCTTCTAAAATGGTTAAATAAATATCAAAGTATGCTAGGTTTAGATTATTATATGTAACCTATATTCATATTTGTGACTTTTTTTTTCTTTTATATGCAGTTTCTGTGGAAAGAGATTTTAAAGCAGCAGTCCCAAATAGTCAAAATGCTACTATCTCTGTACCTCCATTGACTTCTGTTTCTGTAAAGCCTCAGCTTGGCTGTACTGAGGATTATTTGCTTTCCAAATTACCATCTGATGGCAAAGAAGTACCATTTGTGGTGCCCAAGTTTAAGTTATCTTACATTCAACCCAGGACACAAGAAACTCCTTCACATCTGGAAGAACTTGAAGGTAAACAATAAAATAGCAGTATTTAAAAATCGATATGTAGCATTTAAGTGCTATTATTTTACTTTTATATTTTTAATACAAAATTCATATAAAATTTTTTTATTTTACTTTTTATATTTTGCTCTTTCTGTAGAAGAACTTAATGTACAGTAGTTTTGAAAGGTCCCATTTTGAAATCTGATCATAATACAATAATTTGTATGTAGAATTGGCCTTTTTTCAAGAAATAATATGTAATTGGCCCTCCATATCTTTGGGTTCCACATCTGTGGATTTAACCAACTGCACCTCAAAAATATTCAGAAAAAAAAAAAGAATGATTGCATCTGTACTGAACATGTGCAG
Organism: Homo sapiens; assembly: GCF_000001405.40. NCBI lineage: Eukaryota > Metazoa > Chordata > Mammalia > Primates > Hominidae > Homo > Homo sapiens. The sequence goes on along the minus strand of NT_187598.1, from coordinate 279,761 downwards.
ACTTTTTTCTTGTCATTTTTTCCCTGAACAATACAATATGACAACTATCTCAGTAGCATTTACATTGCGTTAGGTATTATAAGTAATCAAGAGATGATTTAAAGCATATGGGAGGATGTGCATAGGTTATGTGCAAATACTACACCATTTATATAAGGGACTTGAGCATCCATGGATTTTGGTATCCATAGAGGGCTGGAACCAATCCCCCACATATACTGAGGGATAACTGTAATTAGAATACCTCAGTTATCCGTCACATGTCTAGAATGAAAAAGTAAAGGAGTTAGTAAATGTAGAAAACATGTTTCTTATTTATTAATTTCTAATATTTGGTTAGTAATCACTTTTCCTTCTCTTCTTTCTTCTACCAGGTTGTACTTCCCAGTCTAAATAGTTACTTGAATGAGGTAGATCCATTGGCAGAATTTGGCTGATGTAGAAGCCAAATTATTAGAGAGAAGATGAAACAACATGTAGCTCTTGTCTTGTTTTTTTAAAAAACAATTTGTATTAGTCCATTGAAACACTGTAAGTCACAATAGCTTTTTTACCCTCAAAATTTTATTAGAAAAATTTCAAACATACAGGAAAATAAAAAAAAAACTTAATAGTGAAGACCTGTATGTCCACCACATAAATTCTGCCATTAAGATTACTTACTATACTTGCTTTAGCAAATATCTGTCTACCTATCCATTCTTCTATCCATTATTAATCCACTTTTTGGAGAGGAATGAATTTCAGAGTAAATTGAAGACACCAATATATTTCCTTGCAAACACTTAAACATATATATCATTTACTGGGTTCAACGATCTCTTTACAGTTTTCTTCTTTTGGCATAAATTTTACACACAGTGAGCTGCCCAAGTGAGTATTTGTAGAATTTTGTGTGTATTTGTTGAATTTTAAGTGTATATTTGTTGAATATTGACAAAAGTATATGTCAGTGTAATCCAAATCTCTATCAAGATCTACAATATTTGTCCAAATATTTTTTGTCTTATCCCCTCTCTTTTCTGCTTCTGGGATTCCGATTATACCTATGTTGAACCTTTTGATATTGTTCTATGGGTCTCTGAGACTTTTTTTTTTCAAGTATCTTTTTTTCTCTGTTCTTTAGATTCAATAATATTGATCTTTTTTTCAAGTTCACTGTCTCGTCTGTTATCTTTAGCCTGCTGTTAAGCCTATTCATGAATTTTTTATTTTAGACATTGCATTTTTTAGTTCTAGAGTTTACATTTGGTTCTTTGTTATAGATTTCCTCTACTGCAATTTCTTATTTTTACAGTATTGCAAACCTATTTTCTTTTATGTTTTTAAGCTTTAAAATCTTTATCTGGTGATTTCAGCATCTTGATCATCTAGGTTTGGATTCTGTGGATTGTCTTTTTTCTTGAAAATAGATCACATTTTCCTGTTTCTTTGTATATGGAGTAATTTGGGGTTGTATTCTTGATATCAATATCAAAAATATTGAATGTTATGTTGTGGAGACTCTAGATTCAGTTACATTCTTCTGAAAAGGTTCCTTCTTTCCTCCCTTTCTCCCATCCTCCCTTCCTACTTCTCTTCTTTCATCCCTCCCTTCCTCCTTCCCTTTCTCCTTTCCCTCCTGATATGGTTTGGATGTTTGGCCCCGCCAAATTCATGTGATTCCCAATGTTGGAGGTGGGGCCTGGTGGGAGGTGTTTGGATCATGGGGGCAGATCCCTCATGTATGGCTTAGCACCATCTCCTTGGTGATAAGTGAGTTCTAGCTCTGAGTTCCTGTGAGATCTGGTTGTTTAAAAGAGCCTGGCACCTCCACTGCCCATCTCTTGCTCCTGCTGTTGCCGTGTGATGTGCCTGTTCTCTTTTTGCCTTCTGCCATGATTGTAAGCTTCCTGAGTCCCTGATTAGAAGCAGATGCTGGCACCATGCTTCCTGTACACACTACAAAACAGCAAGCAAATGAAACTGCTTTTCTTTATAAATTACCCATCCTCAGATATTCCTTTATAGTGGCACAAACAGACTAACACACCTTCCTTCCCTTCCTTCCTTTCTTTCTTCCTCCCTCCTACCAGACAAGTAAACTGGTTGGACTTAAACTACAGATTTTGTCTTGGGTGGCAGCTCTTGGGTGGTAGTTCAGAGATGAGACAGATATTTGAAAAGGCTTTATTTACAGAATTTGGGAATCTCTCCTTTCCAGGATTCCCACCTTACTTTCCTGCAGCTCTGATTTTCTTGAACTGTACCCTGTGGTTCTTCAGGCTAGAAAGACTGTGAGTTTTCTATTGGGGTTTTATATACCCTGCGTGTTGCCAACTTTGATGTGTACTCAGGCTAAAAGTCATTAAAAACAGATAACTCACTTTGTGCCATTACCTTTTTCCCCAGAATCAACTCCTGTCCAGATCTGTATTACTTTTCTTTACTCTTCATTGCCTTCAGGGTTTTTATTTTCTTGCTTTGTTTTAGTTTTGGTCTAGAGTTTATTGTTACCTACAAGAGAGTTGGGTCTGGTAGGAGTGATTTTTTAAATTTTAAATTAAAATTTGTTTTTTTGAGACAGAGTCTCACTCTGTTGCCCAGGCTGGAGTGCAGTGGCATGGTTTTGGCTTACTGCAGCCTCCATCTCCTGTGTTCAAACAATTCTCATGCCTCAGCCTCCTGAGTAACTAGGACTACAGGTGCACACCACCACACCCAGCTAGTTTTTGTATTTATAGAGATGGGGTTTCATCATGTTGGCCAGGCTGGTCTTGAACTCCTATTCTCAAGCATTCCACCCACCTTGGGCTCCCAAATTGCTGGGATTACAGACGTGAGCTACCATGCCTGGCCCAATTTTAATTTTTTAGAGAAAAGAAAAGATGAACCTAGTGCCTGGCCTATCATCTTACTTTGCGCATATCAATAGTGTTTCTCAAAAATAGTTTTAAAAAGTTCTGGCTTACAGAATACCCAATCAATTGATCTTTCTCTTTTTTTTTCATACTTATTAACAACATTGGGATTAAACCATGCAGCCTTGTAAGTTGTTTCATCCACATAATATGTTGTGAACATTTCATATTTGTTGCTTTTTGATGAATACATAGTATTTCTTCATATGGACATACTGTAATTTTTTTAATGAATTTTCTATTCTTAAATAATTTTGAGTTTTTACTCTATTATTTTCATAATCAGAAAAAAGGTAAGAAATATCCACCTGGAAATATGTGATAGTTTTTCTTATGTTCTTGACATTGTGCTCACTAGAAAACATTGCTTTTTGAGTTGAATGAGGAAGAAATTGGTTAACTCCTAAATTATAGGTTCACTGAAGAAGTGGTAAAACCATCTGATTTGTATATATTAAAGAGAAAATTACTTTTATTAGAGTCAAGAAAGTAAGGTGGTACCTAATTAAAGAAGTTAAATATGTGTATGTATGTATGCACGTGAATGATGGGTTGAGAAAAGAGAAGATTTTGAGTGAATAGAGCAGACTGCTATCAATAATGACTAAAATTGTGTTGCAAGCACAGTCAGGAATCATTTAACAATGGCGATATGTTCTGAGAAATGTTGTTGTTAAGCTATCTTATAATTGCATGGACAGTGTAGAGGCACTTACACAAACCTAGATGGTGTAGCCTACTAAACACTTAGGCTATATGGATACCATATTTCTCCTAGGCTACAAACCTATACAATATGTTACTATGCTGTATACTATACTAAATACAGTATTCAGTACAGTAAAAATATGGTATAAAAGTTAAAAGATGATACACCTTGTATTAGTCTGTTCTCACGCTGCTGATGAATACATACCTGAGACTGGGTAATTTATGATGAAAAAGAGGTTTAATGGAATCACAGTTCCATGTGGCTGGGAAGGCCTGACAATCATGGCAGAAGGTGAAAGGCATGTCTTACATGGCAGCAGGTAAGAGACAATGAGAGCCAAGCAAAAGGGGAAACCCCTTATAAAACCATCAGATCTGAGACTTATTCACTATCACAAGAACAGTATGGGAGAAACTGCCCCTATGATTCAATTATCTCCTACCAGGTGTCTCCCACAACATGTGGGAATTAGGGGAGCTACAATTCAAGATGAGATTTGGGTGGGGACACAGCCAAACCATACCATTCTGCCCCTGGCCCCTCCCAAGTCTCACATCCTCACATTTCAAAACCAATTATGCCTTCCCAACAGTCCCCCAAAGTCTTAACTCATTTCAGCATGAACTCAAAAGTCCACAATTCAAAGTCTCATCTGAGACAAAGCAAGTCCCTTCCGCCTATGAGCCTGCAAAATCAAAAGTTAATTACTTCCTAGATACAATAGGAGTATAGACATTGGATAAATACACCCATTCCAAATGGGATAAATTGGCTGAAATGAAGGGGCTAAGGGCCCCATGCAAGTCCACAATCCAGCAGGGCAGTCAAATCTTAAAGCTCCAGAATGATAACCTTTGACTCCATGTCTCGCATCCAGGTCATGCTAATGCAAGAGGTGGGTTACCATGGTCTTGGGCAGCTCCACCCCTGTGGCTTTGCAAGGTACAGCTTCCCTCCTAGCTGCTTTCACGGGCTGGTGTTGAGTATCTGTGGCTTTTCCAGGTGCACAATGCAAACTGTTGGTGGATCTACCATTCTGGGGTCTGGAGGATGGTGGCCTTCTTCTCACAGCTCTACTAGGCAGTGCCCCAGTGGAGACTCTGTGGGGGCTTCAACTCCACATTTCCCTTCCATACTGCCCTAGCAGAGGTTCTCCATGAGGGCCCCACCTCTGCAGCAAACGTTTGCCTGGACATCCAGGCATTTCCTTACATCCTCTGAAATCTAGGAGGAGGTTCCCAAACCTCAATTCTTGTGACTTCTATGCACCTGCAGGCTCAACCATGTGGAAGCTGCCAAGACTTGGGGCTTCCACCCTCTGAAGCCATGGCCCAAGCTGTACCTTGGCCCCTTTAGCCATTGCTAGAGCAACTGGGATGCAGGGCACCAAGTCCCTAGGCTGCACACAACAGGGGGGCCCTGGGCCTGGCCCATGAAACCACTTTTTCCTCCTGGACCTCTGGGCCTGTGATGGGAGGGCTTGCTGCAAAGGTCTCTGACATAGCCTGAAGACATTTTCCCATTGTCTTGATGATTAACATTTGGCTCCTTGTCACCTATGCAAATTTCTGCAGGTGGCTTGAATTTCTCCTCAGAAAATGTGTTTTTTTTTTCTATTGCATTGACAGTCTGCAAATTTTTCGAACTTTTATGCTCTCTTTTAAAACTGAATGCTTTTAACAGCAGCCAGGTCACCTCTTGAATGCTTTGCTGCTTAGAAATTTCTTCCACCAGATACCCTAAATCATCTCCCTCAAGTTCAAAGTTTCGGAAATCTCTACAGCAGGGGCAAAATGACACCAGTGTCTTTGCTAAAACATAGCAAGAGCCACTTTTACTGCAGTTCCCAACAAGTTCCTCATCTCTACCTGAGACCACCTTGGCCTGGATTTCATTGTCTATGTCATTATCAGCATTTTGGTCAAAGCCACTCAACAAGTCTCTAGGCAGTTCCTAACTTTCCCACATCTTCCTGTCTTCTTCTGAGCCCTCCAAACTGTTCCAACCTCTGCCTGTTACTCAGTTCCAAAGTTGCTTCCACATTTTTGGGTATCTTTACAGCAGCACCCCACTCCTGGTACCAGTTTACTATATTAGTCCATTTTCATGCTGCTGATGAAGACATACCTGAGTTTAGGTAATTTATAAAGAAAAAGAGGTTTAATGGACTCACAGTTCCACGTGGCTGGGGAGGCCTTACAATCATGGTGGAAGGAGAAAGACACATCTTACATGGTAGCAGGCAAGAGAGAATGAGAGCCAAGCAAAAGGGGAAACCCCTTTAAAAAAACCATCAGATCTCTTGAGACTTATTCACTACCACAAGTACAGTCTGGGGGAAACTGTCCCCATGATTCAGTTATCTCCCACCAGGTCTCTCCCACAACACATGAGAATTATAGGAGCTACAATTAAAGATGAGATTTGGATGGGGACACAGCCAAGCCATATCACACCTGTATAGGGCATTTATCATGAATGGAGCTTGCAGGGCTGTAAGTTGTTTTGGGTGAGTCAGTGAGTGAGTAGTGAGTGAATGTGAAAACTAGGACATTACTGTATACTACTGTGGATTTTATAAATGCTGTACCCTTAGGATATACTAAATTTATTAAATATATTTTTGTTTCTTCAACAATAAATCACCCTTAGCTTACTGTAACTTTTTACTGTATAAACTTTTTTTTTTTTGAAACGGAGTCTCAGTCTGTCACCAAGCTGGAGTGCAGTGGCACGATCCTGGCTCACTGCAACCTCTGCCTCCCAGGTTCAAGCGATTCTCCTGCCTCAGCCTCCCAAGTAGCTGGGACTACAGGCGCGGGCCACCACACACAGCTAATTTGTATTTTTAGTAGAGACTGGATTTCACTATGTTGGCCAGGATGGTCTTGATCTCTTAACCTCGTGATCTGCCCACCTCGCCCTTTCAAAGTGCTGGGATTACAGGCGTAAGCCGCCATGCCTGGCCTAAACTTTTAAATATTTTAAAACTTTTGACTTTTTTGTAATAATACTTGGCTTAAATATAAACACAGTGTGCAGCTATACAAAAATATTTATATCCTTACTCTATAAGCTTTTTTCTATTAAAAACTTTTTTTTTTACTTCTTAAACTTTTTTGTTAAAAACTTAGACACAAACATCCACATTAGCCTAGGCCTACGTATCTTGATGACAATCATTGCCATGTCACTAGACCATAGGAACTTTTTGGCTTCATTATAATCTTATGGAACCACTGTCGTATATGTGGTCCATAGTTGACCACAATGTTGTTATACAGAGAATTACAATAATTTAAACCTTTGAAGAATTTAGCTTTATGTCTACATATTATTCCCAACATGATTATTAACCTTGAAAGGAATTTGACCTATATTTTCTTTTTTAAATTATGAAATATTATACACGTAGAAAAATGCACAAAACAGAAACATACAGCTCAGTGATTTATTACAAAGCAGAATACCCATGTAGGTACAGCCTAGGTAAAGACATAGAGTAGTACTAGTAACCCCATAGCTTCTCTCCATTTTTTTGCCTTTCAGTCACCCTAGAGTGTTCAGTGTCACCATTGTTACAATCATGACTCTCTTGCCTTTCTTCTTACCACCTAAGCTCATATCCCTGAATATTGTAGTTTAATTTTTTCTGTTTTCTGAACTTAATATAAATAATTTATTCAGTCTGTATTCTTTTGTTTATGGTTTTCTCATTCAACATTATGTTTTTTAGATTAATTCAAGTAATTGTCAGTAGTTTTAGTTTGTTTTTGTATCTGTACAGTAAGTGTATATTATAATTCGTTCTGTATTCTAAATGGCATAGTGTACAGTAGTGTTTCTGTGTAGCATATTATAAGGAATTTGTATGTAGTAAGTATATACTATATCTATTTTACTGTTGATGGAATTTTGAGTTTTCCAATTTTTTGGCTATTATGGGTAATAATACTTACGAACATTCTTATACCTATCTCTTGGTGCACATGTACAAGCACTTCAGTTGTGTATATGTTCAGAATGGCTTGTTGGGTCATAGAATATAAATATCTTCGGCTTTAGTAGAAATTGCCAAACTCTTTTTCCATAGTGATTATATCAATTTACATTTCCACTAGCAGAGTATGATCGTTTACATTCCTCTACTTTCTTGCCAACACGTACTATTGTCCGTCTTTTTGCTTTTAACCATTCTGGTGAGTGTGTAGTGGTATTTCCTTGGGTTTTCAACTTATTTTTTCCTCATGACTAATGAGATTGATTGTCTTCTGAAGTGCCTATCAATGTCTTAAGCCAATTTATGTATAGTCTCGTCTGTCTTTTTCTTATTGATTTCTTATGATTTGTAGGTGTTCCTCATGTATTCTGGATATGAGCCCTTTATGGCCATACCACCCTGAATGCTCCTGATCTCATCTGATCTCAGAAGCTAAGCAGGGTCGGGCCTGGTTAGTACTTGGATGCATATGAGCCCTTTGTCAGTTATACTTGTTGCACATATCTTCTTTCACTCTGTGGGTTACCTTAAATAGTCTTTGACAAATGGGAATTTTAAATTTTAATGTAGTTTAGTTTATTAAAATATGTCTATGATTAGGCTGGTCGTGGTGGTTCATGCCTGTAATCCCAGCACTTTGGGAGGCTGAGGCGGTGGATCACTTGAACCCAGGAGTTCAAGACCAGCCTGGCCAACATGGTGAGTGAAACCCCATCTCTACTAAAAATACAAAAACTTAGCTGGCGTGGTGGCGTGTGCCTGTAATCCCAGCTACTTCGGAGGCTGAGGCAGGAGAATAGCTTGAACCCAGAAGGTGGAGGTTTCAGTGAGCCGAGATCATGCCACTGCATTCCAGCCTGGGCAACAGAGTGAGAATCAACTTCAAAAATAATAATAAATAAATAAATAAAATTATATATATATATGTGTGTGTGTGTGTGTATGTATGTACGTGTGTGTGTGTGTGTGTGTGTATATATGTATGTATATGATTAATGCTCTTTATGTTCCATTTAAGAAATGCTTCCCTGTCCTAAGGTCATGAAAACTTTCTTATCAGTTAACCTGAATATAGAAGCTTTATTGGTTTGTCTGTAATATTTCATTTAGATCTACAATCCCCATGGAACTAATTTTTTTGTGAATATCTTTAGTTGAATGCAGGCTTATTTTTTCCCTGTTGATATCCAGTTGTCTTATCACCTTTTAGTGAAAAGATCATTCTTTCTTGTGCAGTGCCACCTTAATTATAAAGTAAGTGTTCATGAAACGGGTGTCTATTTCTAGGCCTTCTTTTCTTTGCTATTGATCTCTTTTTCTATCACTTACCAATATTATATTCCTAATTCCCAGTAGAGCGAATCTTTCAGTCTTGTTTTTCTTCTTAAAGATTAAGTTTTTGGTTATTCTTGGTCTTTAGTGTTTCCATATAAATAGTTTTTATTTTTATTTTTGCTATTTGATTTCCAACTTAATTGCATTGTAGTAAGAAAACGTACTTTGTATGATTTCAGTCCTTCCAAATTTGAGAGTTTCTCGGTGTATCTCAGCATGTGGTCAATTTTAATAAATGTTCTACGTCTTCTTGAAAAGGATGTATCTCCCCCCCCAATCTTGTAATTTAAAAGATGTTCTATATATAAGTAGAAAAATAAGAGGAAACTCAGATCACACAATACAGAATTGTCTATGGGGCAAAGAAAAATGCCAGAAATATACCAGACTGTCTTAAATGCAGGCTTAATGGCTGATCCTTGGCATAATACTTCACACAGAACTCCCTAAATATGTGCTGATCTTTTTAGCTATCAAAGACATGTGATTTAGTATTACTTGAGACAAAATATTTTTTCTTTTACCCTGGGTGTACCAGCTGTTGGCTAATAACTCCAAGAAAAGGATGTTATAAACTTTTAGAAACATTTGCTTTCAGGATCTGCCAGAGCATCTTTTGGAGATCGAAAGGTAGAACTTTCCAGTTCATCCCAGCACGGACCTAGCTATGATGTGTATAACCCATTCTATATGTATCAGCACATTTCACCTGATTTGAGTCGACGCTTTCCTCCCCGTTCAGAAGTGAAGAGACTGTATGGATCGGGTATGAAGATCTTTTGTGCTTTTCCTCTCTGTGTTTCTCTTTAAGAAATTTAGAAATCAAATGTAAGATATGGGAATAAATGATTTTTACTATTAAAAGCATTTTAAAAATAAGAAAACAAGCTTCATAAATGTGATAAACGTTATGACATCTCTGTAGTATTATATCTAATATAAGAATTGAAAGATTAATGAGTTATATCTGTTGGTAGTTCTAAATTCCATTTAATTTCCCTTTTTTGAAAGAAGCTTTGGTTCAAGAGATCTTTTATACAACATGGAGACTATAGTTAATTATGATATATTCTTGAAAAGTGCTAAGAGAGTGGATATTAGGTGTTCTCAAAACACTTTTTGTTATCATTCAAAAGTGATAACTGTGAGGTAATACATTTGTAAATTAGCTAGATTTAATCATTCTGCAATGTATATATACTTTAAAGCATTATGTTGTTCATGATAAATACATATAACAAAAGAGAAAGAAGTTAGCTACATACCAGGTACAAGGGAAAAAACATAAAGAAGAAAGAAGTTTTGTTTTCAGATTATTTTGTCTTTTTGTTGTTGTTGTTGTTTTGAGACAGAGTCTCACTTTGTTGCCCAGGCCGGAGTGCAGTGGTGCAATCTCAGCTCACTGCAGCATCAACCTCCCAGGCTCAAGTGATTCTCACACCTCAGCTCCCCATCACCCCTGCCCCACCGCAGAAGCTGGGGCTACAGAAGTGTGCCACCACACCTGACTAATTTTTTTGAATTTTTTTGTAGAGATGGGGTTTTGCCATGTTGCCCAGGTTAGGCTCAAAATCCTGGGCTGAAGCAATCCTCCTGCCTTGGCCTCCCAAATTGCTGGGATTACAGGCATGAGCCACTACACCAGCCCAGATTATTTTGTATGCATTTCACTTGTCACCTGTATATTCATAAACTCTTCAACAGCTATTTGTACATAGATATGTTGTACTAAATACAGTAATATTTTTTTCATTTTTTTCTGTATTCAGTGAAAATGATGAATTTAGAAACTCATGGTGTGATGGGAAATATAAACAAACTGCTTAAGTGATTATAGAGCTTTTGTAGTTTCATATTTGAGACTGTGTGAATTATAGTCTATCATGTTCGTCTGTGATTCACAAAATTCTCAGTTTTTCAGGATATATATATATATATACACACACACATATATATGTATGTGTATATATGTATATATGTATACATATGTGTGTGTATATATATGTATATATGTATACATATGTGTGTGTATATATATGTATATATGTATACATATGTGTGTGTGTATATATATATATCTCTCTCAACCAGTGAATTTAGGGTGAGGTACTGAAAATAAAGAAGAAATGCTTATTTAAGGGCCTGCCTTACGTTCACTACTGTGCTAGAATATACAATTGGCATACAAAGTTCCTTTCTTCACAGATCTTACAGTGTAGGAGGGAAACTAAAAATACAGACTAGAAATATAGGAGCACATGGGATTGAGTATTGATTTTTAAAAGTAATACATGCTTATTAATAATAAATAGTTGCACTACACTTAATACAGAGTGTTTACTCTTAGATTATATTTATTGGATCAAGGAATGGGGAATGTAAAGAAAAAAGTAATTTTCCCTGTTTGATAATTGATGTGGATGTGAAAATGTGTTGTTTGATTTGTGTTGATTTCTGTTTCAAACAAAAATAAAATAACTGAAAAAAATTTTTTTAAGTTTAAAAAATTTTTATTAGAAGGCTTTATCTCTTCTGTAGATTTGCACAAAATATTCATGATGTATTGCTACAGAGATTTAGTTCATGGTAATTAAGTAGAATTCCAGTGTTTCTTAAAAATATATACTTTTCTCATATCCCTTTGTAGTTTGTGATTTAAGGACGAACAAACTTCCCGGTTCCCCTGGGCTAAGCAAATCTATGTTTGATCTTACAAACTCATCTCAGCGATTCATCCAGGTGAATTATCTACATAAATTTAATTATATGTGATAATTTCCTTTCAAATTAAAAATTCAGAAATGTATGAATTACATTAGGAATATGCTGTATATTTTTTGTAGATGTATCTGTTCTGATATCTGAAGAATAAATAATTGATATTTCCCATGTATATTATTTTAGAAAGCTGTTATTTGATTGCTAAAAGGCAGTAGTTTTTCTTTTTTCAATAAATTTTATATCTCAGTTGGTATGCTCTCAGGGAACCTTGAAACAGTTGGTATTTAAAATGGTGTAATTAAAAGTGCTTATTAATTTAGCTTTTCTTACTGAATATAACCAGCTAGTTTTAAAAATTATATTTCTTTTGAGATGTAGGACTTTATTCACTGATGTTAACACTGCATCCTCCTGGTTTTGAAAAGGAATTGAGAATTATTTTGATGTTTTAAAAAATGTTTCTTTTTTATTACAAGTAAACTGTAATTATTTAAAATTAGGAAATAGAAGTAAGCAAAGTAGAAAGACAAATTCCCATATTTCCTATAACTCAGAGTAAGTGCAATGTGAAAATATTGTTATGTGTACTCATGGTCTTGTTTCCATGTGAATATATGTACATATATTTTTTAAAATGGAAATATATTCTAGATAATCCTTAATCCTCAAGTGAGTTAACTTTTTATAGATTTAATTTTTTTATAGCAGCAGTTGTTTAACACACATCAGAATTGTTTGGAGAGCTTGTTAAAACACAGGATGACAGGCTTCATCCTCAGAGTTCTTAATTCAGTAGCTCTGCAGTAGGGCCTGAGTTTGTATTGCTACCAAGTTCCAAATGATACTGTTTCTGCAGGTCCAGATTGACTATGCTTTGATAATTGCTGCTTTACAAGTTTTTCCATAGCAGGCTATTTCTAAATAAATTCTCATTTTCGTTAATACTCTCAGGTATGAAACTTAAGCAGTAATATCTTTCTCCTTATTACAAAACCAAACCAAAACAGCAAAGGCTTTCCAGTATATCATCTTGTAAGATATTTAAGATATTCCTAACAAATGCCAAAAGCTTTTTTTTTTTTTTTCCACTACCTGTAAGTGGGAAATTCTGACCTGTAACACTGTCAAAATAGTTAGCATGCAGTTTGTTACTAGGATGGATATTGAGGCATATGTATCAGAATCCTTAAGGTTTCATATGCAATTTCTGACTAAAGAATAATTTTATTTATAGAGACATGATTCATTGTCCAGTGTACCCAGTAGTTCTTCTTCAAGGAAAAATTCTCAGGGGAGTAACAGAAGCCTGGGTAAGGAATAAAGTATCCTACTTTTATACTCTTAAGATAATTATTTCTACTCAGTAGTAACTTGAAAGTGTATATAAGGTGAAAAACTCTAGATGATTGTATCTACTATGTTGATATAATAAATTAAGTCTAAATAAAACTATGTTGGTAGTGTTATCAGCATATGGATACTCAGATCACATGGTCCATTTCTCAGTGTTCAGGTACAAGTGTGGCTTTTTAAAAAGTGATGAAGCAGTTGAATATCTTTTGTTTGTATTAAAGTGTACTAGTGAAGGAGCCTCCAGAAGAATACAGTATTAAGGCCATATAAATGTTATTTGGAAAGATTTCTCTTAGTTTTAATTTAAATCCCTCACTGCAATTAGGTTAAGTTTTTAAAACCATGAGACCTTTTTATAGTATATATCTTCCCTCTAGTGCTTCAATAAATATATTAAAGTGTGATTTTTGTCTTCTTAGATTGTGAACTTTAAAAAATAATTGTAGCATTTTAAAATTGTGCTCTTAAAATTGGATTGTGTCAAAGCTTAATTGGGTTAGAAGGATTGCATGGCATTTGAAACATCTTTGTCCTTTTATAATTCAGATACAATTACTCTATCAGGAGATGAAAGGGACTTTGGGAGACTGAATGTGAAATTGTTTTATAATTCTTCAGTAGAACAGATCTGGATCACAGTTTTACAGGTAAATTAGTATAGTTAATACCAGCTTTTATTACAAAATTGAATATTTAGACATTGTAAACACTGACTATTGCCCTTTTCTGGGGAATGGGCCAATGCCACCTTTGACATTTGGAATTCTTTAATATTTTTACAGAAAATAGTATTTAATAAGGCATCTAAGAAAAAAATCTGTAGTATGATGGAAGTATGTGTGTTTTTAAGCTCAAGAGGGAAATTGACATAACATCTAGAATATTATATGTCAAAATTTGCTTAATGTGGATGCAACATGAGGTCTCAGTAGACAAGTTTATTTTTTGCAGTTTTTATCTAAAGTCAGTACCTCAAGAAATACATCAAATGTTTGTATTGTTGGATCCTTTGTAAAATTCAAACTGTATTTTTAATTTTTTTAGTGCAGAGATTTAAGTTGGCCCTCTAGTTATGGAGACACTCCTACTGTTTCTATAAAAGGAATACTTACATTGCCCAAACCAGTGCATTTCAAATCTTCAGCCAAGGAAGGTTCCAACGTAAGTGGCTGTTTGTATTTGAATTTCTTTTCTGTTTTTTTTTTTTTTATATTTGTCACTTTTACCCATGTAAACAAGTCAGAATAAGAAAGTCTTTTATCTTAGGGAAACTACAACTATGTATTATTGCTTTTTCAAGGCAACTTTGAGTCTGAAAAATATTTGATATTTCATTGTCTAGTATTAAGATGCATTTAAAAAGAATATCTTATTCACTAAAATATATAGAAGATTAACAATATCTAAGAAACCTGTTTACTTTTCTTGTGTGAAAGGAAATAAATCTTGGCTTCTCTTTCCCCCAACCCACTTTGGCTTTGAAAAATAAATTCATGATTGCAATGAATTTCTTTTAAATATTTCCAATTAGTATAACAGAAAGACTTATGATCCTGAGTTTGGTTTTGTAGATCCTAGATTTTACATTAATTTAAATACATCTTCATTTCTGTCACTTTTTATAGGTTAAAAGATTATTGTTTTTCTATGCAAATGAAAAGATATCTTCTAAAAGACATCATTTTAAAATAATATCATTCAAATGACTAATAAACATATAAAAAGTTTCTTCTCACTATTAATCATAGAAATACAAATTTAAATTGCGTGTATTGCTTTCTGTTTCTTTCTTCCTCTTTCTTTCTTTGCTTTCTTCTTAGAATTAGGAAAACTTTTACAGGTATTCTAGAACATACAACTTCTTAGAAATTATCTTGACACTACATGTCAAAACCTTAAAATATTTATACTTTTAAACAGTAATTCTACTTTGAAACTGGAAATTATTTCTGTGGAAATAATCTAAAATACAAAAATATATAAAATACTCTTGGAAGTTTTGTTTGAAGAAAAATTGAAAAAACTTCAAATGTGTCATACAGAGGAATGGTTGAAAAACCTAATGGTGTACCTATGTGTATTAGTTTCCTAGGGCTACCATAACAGTACTGTACCACAAACTGGGTGACTTACAGCAACAGAATTTTCTCTCTTGCAGCTTTGGAGAAAGTCCAAAATTAAAATGTCAGCAGTGTTGATTCCTTCTCTGAGGGAGAATCTGTTCTATGCCTCTCTTCCAGCTACTGTGATGGCCAGCAATCCTTGACATTCCCTGGCTTGTAGATCACTCCAGTCTCTGCTTCTGTCTTCACATGGCATTATACCTGTGTTCTGTGTATTCACATGGCCATCTTCTTAAAGGATACCAGTCATTAGGGGTCCACCCTATGTCAGTATTACCTTTTCTTAACTTCACTGATCACATCTACAGTGACCCTGTTTCCAAATGAGTTCACATTCTGAGATGCTGGGGCTCAGGACTTCAACATATCTTTTTTAGGGGGGTGTAATTCATCCCATAACACCATGTGATAGAAAACTAGGTAACTATGAAAACTAATGTTTAGGAAGAGTTTTTAAGGAGCTGGAAAAACATTTTTAATAAATGAAAAAGACAATGATCAAAATTGGGTTGTGTGTGTATGTGTATATGTGTATGAATGTGTATATATGTATGTATGTGTATATGTATATATGTATATATATATTGGGATCTTACTTTATGAAAATATGTATCATTGAAAGTCTAGCTAGAAATAAACCTTAACTCATTATAACCTTGACACTCATAGATGAATACTTTCTGAATTAAACAATTTTACTTTTTGATTTTCAAATAAAGCTAATTTAACTTAGGAAAAGTTAGGAAAAATGTTCCCATATTAAAACTTGTATGGAATCTTTCATTTTACAATTTTATTATTATATATAAATTTGTTTGGGAGACTCCTATTTGGCAAAATACAGAAAGTGTGAAATGAAGCATCACACTTGCATAATTTGTAAGCTCATTAAACATTTTGTGTGTAATATATAATTGGTGTGATTCTATGACTTGAGACTCTAAAAGAAAAAGATAGCTCAGTAGTTGTGAGACCCTCAGAAAGACAGTTCTGGCTGTACAGACAGACATAAGCTATTACAACAAGAGTAACAGTTTGGGCACAGTATAGGCATACTTCGGAGATACTGTAGGTTCAGTTCCAGACTGCCACACTAAAATGAACATTGCAATAAAGCAGGTCACATGAGTTTTTTGGTTTCCCAGTGCATACAAAAGTTATCTTTATACTGTAGTCCATTAAGTGTGCAATAGCATTATGTCTAAAAAAAGTAATTTACATACTTTAATTTAAAATACTTTATTTCTAAAAAATGTTAATGATCATCTGAGTCTTCAGCAAGTTGTAATTTTTTTGCTGTTGGAAGGTTTTGCCTTGATGTTGATGGTTGCTGAATGATCAGGGTGGTGGTTAGTGAAGGTTGAAGTGGCTGTGGCAATTTCTTAAAATAAGACAACAGTGAAGTTGGCCACATCTATTGACTCTTCCTTTCACAAAAAAGTTCCCTGTAGTATGTGATGCTGTTTGATAGCATTTTATCCACAGTAGAACTTCTTTCAAAATTGGATTCCATCCTCTCAAACCCTGCTGTTGCTTTTCAGCTAAGTTTATGTAATATTCTGAATCCTCTGAATTCATTTCAACAACGTTCACAGCATCTTCACCAGGAGTAGATTCCATCTCCAGAAACTACTTTCTTTGCTCATGTGTGAGAATCAACTCCTTATCTGTTCATATTGTATCATGAGATGGCAGCCATTCAATTGCATCTTCAGGATCCACTTCTAATTCTAGTTCTCTTGCTGTTTCCACCACATCTGCAATTACTTCCTCTGCCGAAATTTTGAATCCCTCAAAGTCAGCCATGAGGATTAGAATAAACTTCTTCCAGATTCCTGCTAATGTCCTTTTTTTGACCTTTCATGCATCATGAATTTTCTTAATGGCATCTAAAATCCTGAATCCTTTCTAAAAAGTTTTCAATTGCTTTTGCCCAGGTCCATCAGAGGAATCACTATCTATGGCAGTGATAGCCTTACAAAATTTAGTTTTTAAGTAATAACACTTGAAAGTTGAAATTACTCCCTGATCCATGGGATGCAGAATGGATGTGTTTGCAGACATGAAAATAACATTCATCTCTGTATACATCTCTGTCAGGGCTCTTGGGTGACGAAGTGCATTGTCAATGAGAAATAATGTTTTGAAAGGAATCTTTTTTTTTTTGAGCAGTAGATCTCAATAGTAGACTTAAAATATTTAGTAAACCATGCTGTAAACAGATATGCTGTTATCCAGGCTTTGTTGTTCCCTTTATAGAGCACAGGCATAGTTAATTTAGTATAATACTTAAGGGCCCTAGGATTTTCAAAACGGTAAGTGAGTGTTGGCTTCAACTCAGAGTGACTGATTGCATTAGCCCCTAACAAGAGAGTCAGCCTAGTCCTTTGAAGCCTTGAAGTCAGGCATTGACTTCTCCTCCATAACTGTGAAAGTCCTACATGGCATCTTCTTCCAACAGAAGGCTCTTTTGTCTACATTGAAAATCTGTTGTTGAATGTAGCCACCTTCTTAACTAGATCTTCTGGATAACTTGCTGCAACTTCTACATTAGCACTTGCTGCTTCACCTTGCACTTTTATGTTTTGGAGACTGTTTCTTTCCTTAAACCTCGTGAACCAGCCTCTACTAGCTTTTAGTTTTTCTTCTTCAGCTTCTTCACTTCTCTCAGGCTTCATAGAATTGAAGAGAGTTAGGACCTTGCTCTGGATTAGGTTTTGGCTTAAGGGAATGTTGTGGCTGATTTGATTTTCTCTCCAGACAAATAAAACTCTCTCCACATCAGCAATAAGGCTGTTTCACTTTCTTATTTGTATATTCACTGGAGTAGCATGTTTAATTTCCTTCAATAATTTTTCCTTTGCATTCACAACTTGACTAAGTGGTATAAAAGGCCTAGCTTTTGGTCTGTCTCGGCTTTCAGCATAGCTTCCTCACTAAGCTTAGTCATTTCTAGCTTTTGATTTAAAGTCGGAGATGTACGTTTGTTCCTTTCCCTTGAACACTTAGAGGGCATTTTAGGGTTATTAATTGGCCTAATTTCAATATTGTTGTGTCTTAGGAAACAGGGAGGCCTGAGGAGAGGGAGAGAGATGGAACAGCTGGTTGCCAGAGCCGTCAGAACACACATATTTATCGATTAAGTTGCCCATCTTATATAGGTGTGGTTCGTGGCACTCCAAAACAATTACAATAGTAATATCAAAGATCACTGATCACAGGTCACCGTAACAGATATAATAATAATGAAAAAGTTTGAACTATTATGAGAATTACCAAAATGTGACAGAGACATGAAGTGAGCACATGCTGGTGGAAAAACGACACTGATAGACTTATTCAACACAGTGTTGCCACGAACCTTCAATTTTTAAAAAATGTAATGTCTATGAAGCACATTAAAGCAAAGTACAGTAAAATGAGGTATGCCTGTATTCAAAATATTTATGCTAGTTGCCCAGATATCTTGCCTTTTCAAAAGGAATAAAAGCTCCTTTCTAAATGGATGCATTAAAGATGGAAAGAAGGAAGTGTATGGCAAAGAACCGTCTAGTGTCAAGAATATGTTAGCCCATAGTAAGCCAACGATTTAAAAATATTAAAAGTAACAAGAGCATTTAAAAATGTTCTGAGGCTAGAAAACAGTGACTTGCTGACTGAGATGGGTGCTTAGGAGAGAAGATATAATTTTAAATTCATATTTTCCTTTGTCTTCTCTATCAAGGAGTTAGATTTTCAGATCGGAAAGGGTGGAATAAATGTCACCAAAAGAGAAATTGAAGCCTGAGATAGATGGGAAGATTCTTTAGACAAAAAATAACTCCTTTAAAGAAACAATTCAAGTCTCTTTATGTGAACAAGTTAGATACTATGAACAAGAGAGTGCTTGCATATGAGATTCTTGCACCACTCTCCTGAACTGTTGAAGAATGGTATTGATAACAGGAAAGATGCCAGAACCAAAGATGGAAAAACAATTAATTTTCAAAAAGGGAAAAAGCTGTATTGTGGTGAGCATGGTGTTAATATGACCTGAATTCCTAAATAATTTAAAGGATGATTTGTGAAATTAAGAAAGGTAGAACCCAGGATAAACTCTAGAAAAACAAGTCATTGCCATTCTTATTTTCATTCACATTAAAAAGATGTTTTGTTGTAAAAAGAATTGAATATACCTTTCCTAAATATAAAATAAAATATTATTTTGTATTGGCATATAAGCCTTTTATTTATATATTTTATGTTTTCTTGTTTTTTTTTTAAGGCTATTGAATTTATGGAAACGTTTGTATTTGCTATTAAACTTCAAAATCTACAAACTGTAAGACTTGTATTTAAGATTCAAACCCAGACTCCCAGGAAGAAAACCATTGGAGAATGCTCAATGTCACTCAGAACCCTTAGCACACAGGAAATGGATTACTCTTTGGATATAACACCACCTTCAAAAATTTCTGTAAGCGATAATAGTATGTTAAGAGTATTTCATACTTTTAGAATTAGTTGGTGGATGGGCTTTTGTTTGTTAGAGAATAGCCTGAATAGAATATTAGAGGATCTGGAAGGCTCTCAAGTAGCAATAATATTATTTTCAAATATTTAGAAATTATTGATAAAATGTTAACAGAACTGTTTTCTTTCTCCATTGGAAAATAACCTCAGGGTTACCTTCTCCTAGCACATTTCTTTTTTCTTTTTTTCTTTGAGATGGAGTCTCGCTCTGTCGCCCAGGCTGGAGTGCAGTGGTGCGATCTCGGCTCACTGCAAGCTCCGCCTCCTGGGTTCACGCCATTCTCCCGCCTGAGCCTCCCGAGTAGCTGGGACTACAGGCGCCCACCACCATGCCTGGCTAATTTTTTTTTGTATTTTTAGTAGAGACGGGGTTTCACTGTGTTAGCCAGGATGGTCTCGATCTCCTGACCTCGTGATCTGCCCGCCTCGGTCTCCCAAAGTGCTGGGATTACAGGCGTGAGCCACTGCGCCTGGCCTCTCCTGGCACATTTCTTATTAATGTTTTATACTTCAAGGGAAATAACTCTGAAGTATGAATAACCTTTTTTTTTTTAAGTTTTTTTAGGTAGCTGATAACTTAGGAAAAACAAGAAAGAATCATAAATTCCACACTCAATCAGAGATTGCCCTGAAATAGATTAGGAAAGTTGTTTTAACCATGAGTAAGCTATACAGCAGCTCATAAATTGATTAGAAGTTTTTACAGCTGATTTTTTTTTTCTGTAAAAAGCTTTATTACCTAATGGTGCTGATTGGGACTTGCTATTTGCTTCTCAGCCAACTGAACACTGTTTTTAAATTGTTTAGGAATTTCTAATTAAATTGTATAGATTGAATGTTAGGATAATGTTTATAAAAATCAGTCTTAAGCTTTTGTAAGGTCAAACCTATATGCGGTTTTAAATTTGTATGGGATTTATATTTTACCTGTTTCCAAAAATATTTAAGGTGACTGGAAGTGCTTCTTAACTCTGGGTATACATTAGAATCATCTGGGAGCTTTAAAAAAATGCCCATACATAAACTAAAAAAAATTAGAATTTTGGGGGATATGGGGCAGAAACATGTATCTACCCTTCCCTTCCCTTCCCTCCCCTCCCCTCTTCTCCCCTCCCCTCCCCTCCCCTCCCCTCCTTTCCCTTCCCTTCCCTTCCCCTCCCTTCCCTTCCCCTTTTTTTTGAGGAAGACAGAAAGCTCTGTAGCCCAGCATGGAGTATGGTACGCAATCACAGCTCACTACCTCCTCCATCTCCCCGACCAAGCAATCCTCCCATGTCAGCCTCCTGAGTAGCTAGGACTACAGGCACACCACCATGCCCAGCTAATTTTTTAAATTTTTAGTAGAGATAAGGGGTCTTGCTATATTGCCCTTTCTGGTATCAAACTCCTCAGTTCAAACAGTCCTCCTGCCTCGGCCTCCCAAATTTGCTGGGATTGCAGGCATGAGCCACTGCGCCCAGCCTTGCCTATTATTCTTTATCTCAACCCCCAATGTGCTGTTCTGTAACTATGACAGGAGTTTGTCACTGGCATTTTTGACACTAGCTTAGTAGGTAGTAATCTGCAGCCATAGTTTACAGAAGGCACAAATAGACTATTCAAATAGATAATTCATATATTAAAACTTTAAAAACAGAGTATATAAGAAGAGAACTCAGGGATTTTCTGGGGAATTAAGATATTATTATCTGCGTTGGAAAATATGAATGAATAATTATGGCTAAATTTCTACTAAATCATATTTCATGTATCAGAGATTTTATAAATATTTGTGTATTTTCTGAATGCCAGGTGCTAGGGTTATAGATTGATAACCTGAAAGAAGAGTGTTTGGGCTATGCTGGACCAGTGAGTTTATGTTAATAAGTGTGAATGTTTCATATTATTGGCTAAAGCAATAATAGTATGCTTTGTTTTAATGTGTTGAAGAGGAAAATAAATATTCTAATAGTGATGTCTAAAGAGCCGTACTTTCCCATCCACACTGACAACTGTTTCACCATGAACAGCACAACTTTCGGGTTTTTACTCAATAAAGAGTCCTTGACCTTGACAAATAGTAATGTAAATAATTACTTCACATCTCAAATTTCGGTATTGAATAATGTGGAAGAAATACGTTTTCCTGAAGAAATAGCTAGCATTTACAGAGATTTATCTTACGGCTGCCTCAATGCTACGTGATCTAATGATCTAATTATCACCGTGTTGTTCTTTATCCGTTTTGTGGAGATCAGGGGAACACTTGCCTGAGGTTATACAGCCAGTAGTTGGGGAGTCAGGATTTGAATGGAGGCAGTCTGATTCCAAACCCAGCTCTTTTAACTCTACCATGTATTGCCCCGCTAAGAAGATATTCTCAAACATCACCAGATCGTGATGTTCTCTAATGATGCTCAGCATTTCATTTCAACCCTTCCAGGAAGGCTAACAATGTTTTCTTTTCTGAATAAAAGGATACATTATTCAGGAGCAGTTTTGTGCTTATTAAATGCAGGCAATACATAACTGCTAATTGATTGGAATTTTAATTTTTTGGTTATTATGAGATTTAAATAGTTTAAATCTTTGAATAGTTTTTCATGATCTGAATTAATGTCCTGGAACATGAATTGAATTTGTGAAATAACCTTGGCAAGTAGGAAATGGTAAGCCTATTGCCAAATGCTGCTCTGTTTTTTTTTTTTGTTTTTTGTTTTTGAGATGGAGTCTCTCTCTGTCGCCCAGGCTGGAGTGCAGTGGTGCAATCTCGGCTCACTGCAAGCTCCGCCTCCTGGGTTCACTCCATTCTCCTGCCTCAGCCTCCTAAGTAGCTGGGACTACAGGTATCAGCCACCACGGGTGGCTAATTTTTTCTTTTTCTTCTTCTTTTTTTTTTTTTAGTAGAGACAGGGTTTCACCGTGTTAGCCAGGGTGGTCTCGATCTGACCTCGTGATCCGCCTGCCTCGGCCTCCCAAAGTGCTGGGATTACATGCGTGAGCCACCGCACCTGGCCAATAGTTTAACTCTTTGAACAGTTTTTCATGATCTGAATTAATGTCCTGGAACATGAATTGAATTTGTGAAATAACCTTGGCAAGTGGGAAATGGTAAGCCTATTGCCAAATGCTGCTCTGTTTTATGAGAGTGAACTCTACAATTGTGTAACAATAAGAGACGTTTTGCCACCTTTACGTGTTTTCATAAGTGTTATTACATTGTGGGTACAAAACTGTAATAAAAAATAATAAAAAAATTTAACCATGATTTCCCTTGTGTTTTATAAACAGTATGACTCTATCTTTTAAAATATATTTTTTAAATGCCAAGGACAGCAATTTTTTTTCAATCAGCAAAGGTTTTTTTTTTATGGCTACCAAATTAGTTCATGTGAAAAGTTGTTAGTTCATTCTCATTCTGATTACAGTCAAAAGCAATAAATTAACTTATTTATTAGAAGTCAGCATTTGTTGCCAAATAACAAGTTTTATCATCAATTTAGACCTTTTCAAGGGGAAATTAAATTCCAACAGTTGAGTTTGTACTTGTTAAGCAATTCACTTTTCCTTTTCTATCTCTTCATTTCTTATGGCATGACTGGTTTGAAATACAGAATCATATTTTAAGAAAACACCAAGCTTCTGTCAATGTTATGTATATGGAGAGGTTGGAGTTTTTGTTGTTTTTTTGTTGTTGTTGTTTTTCCCAATGAGCTATGAGCCAGTTATTGGGGAATACTGAGCAATGTCAAATATAAATGTCTTCATCAAGTGTCATTCAGTTGTTCTGTAACTTTATTGGAATCAGTACTAACAAAGACTTTGTGTCTGTCTATGCTGAGCCCTAGTATGATCTGTGAACATTATGTTCCTACTTTATTCCTATTCTTACTCTTTTCAACATGTAAACAATAGTGTTTTTGTGTTTGGACAACCATTCTCCCTTTTATTTTTCAGTCCAAGGACCTTGGAATCCACCTAAGTAGTCTGGCTTGTGTTGTATTTCACAGACAAATAACCAACTTTCTTCTGCTGTTGGTCAGCAGTACTGAAGAACACATTTTAATTTTTCCTCTTCTCTAAGTCTCCTTCATTTTGCCGTTTGCCTCAGGTTTTCTTTGACCTTTTCCTTATTATTTACTGCCTCATCACTTTGACTAGCTTCCTTCTTGCCAGCTTTCTTTAGCTTGCTTCCATTCAGCATAGTAATTCACTCTTAATCCACAGATCTGTTTATTGCTGTCTTCTGATTGTGGTAGCACCTACTCTGATCTCCATAATTAGAAAATAATGATGATTTTCATATGTAACTTTTTAATCATATTTCGTGTGTTCTCTAAAAATAATTTGACTACATTTAGTTGTTTTGAAAGTGTATTCCTTTTGTGTTAATTTCACTGGCATTTTCTTCAGTGATACTGCTTATTAATTTAATTTGCTTTTAATTTGAATTGGCTCTAGGTGTCACAGATTTTGAAGTTTCAGTACATAGATATAACCTGTATTTTCAGAAACCATGCAAATGAGTACTTTAAAGAATTCATGATATTTATCTTCATAACTTTGTCTTGTAACTTATAGTTTTGAATATCATTTGAAAGGAATACTTTCAAAATTTCTAACCTTAGCTTTTTATCTTTTAATTTTTGAATTGTTTCAAAAACTTTATTCTTAACTACCAAATGACACTTTTTTGATATGCAGGTTTGCCATGCAGAACTTGAATTGGGGACTTGTTTTCAAGCAGTAAATAGCAGAATTCAGTTACAAATTCTTGAGGCACGGTACCTTCCAAGCTCATCAACACCTCTGACTTTGAGTAAGTATATCAGTGGTTCAAAGTAGAATCTTCAGAAAGTATTAGTAATAGAAAGTATTTTTTTTACATTTCTTACAATGGAGATTAAAATCTTAGTAACTTTTATTATTTAACTTATTTACTTTAAATTTAAAATTATAAGATTTCAAATTTTAGCCATTGTGTCTACCTTAATACAGTGGTCTCTTGAGTGTTATCCAGTTATGACCTCTCTGCCTTTGATACTGTTTTTTATTTAGCTCATCAGTTCATACAGGTTGAATGTCTAGAGGATTTTCAGTTATATTTTACCACCTGAAATGATTTATCCTCTCTCTAGGTCTGTGCCCTTTGTGGAATGCCCTGCTAACTAGAAACTTAATTGTAAAAAATATATATATCAAAAACAAACCTAGAAACACTTTTCTCTCCCTGTGTTTTGTCTACAACCAGGAGTTGTGATACTTTGGTTGTCTAGTCCCAGAGATTTGAGTGGGCAGAAGTGCCCCTTTTCCCTACTAAAAGAAGGGAACTGTATGGGGGCAGGCAAAAGCAATGCATGTTCACCGTAACTAGAAAGACTAAAAATAAATGAAACTGAGCATTCAATTCAAGAAGCTAGAAAAACAACAAACCCAAAGAAATTAGAGTAAGGTATTAAAGCTAAAGTTGAAGGTGACAGATATGGAGACAACCACAAAAGGCATAATCAATAAAACTAAAAGCTGCTTCTTTGAAAGAATCATTAAAATAGACACATCTATAGAAGGTGAGATCAAGTGAAAAAATAGAGAAAACATGAATGATATTCTGAGCAATGAAGAGGATATAATTTCAAATTCAGAAGAGATTCTATCATGTATAAAGCAATACCATATATAGCTATACCGATTTATTTGGGTATCTATGTAAAATAAATGACTTTCTGAGAAATTCAGCAGTTGAAAGTAGAATCTTAAGAAGAGGAAGAAAATCCGAATAAAAGAATAAGCATGAAAAGGTAGTTAAAGAACTGCCTCTAATAAAAGCACTAGACCAAGGTAATTGTACTGGGAGATTCTACCAAATTTTCAAGGAACATGTAATTTCTGTTGTATATAAGCTGTTCCAAAGCATGAAAAGAAGATGGAAAAAGTAATTTTGTGAGGTCAGCATATTCTTGATACTAAAACAGAATGGATAGCACACACAAAAAGTAATTATAGACTAATGTCACCTGTGTAGATAGATGGAGAATCCTAAAAGAAAAATGAGCAAATAAAACCTAACTTGGAATAAATCATCAGAACTATATATAATTAATTCTAGGAAACAAGGACAACAGATGCTGTTTATGACGGGCTTCCCTTAAAACAGCTTATCAGGATGACCACAACTCTTCATTCTATCAATCTGACGGTCGGATCTCAGCCCTCACTGTGGCTCCCACCTTTCTGGGAGTTCTCACTTTCTTGCTTCCCTGGCACCCCAGCTCTGTCACCTCCAATTAGTCAGACTGTACTTTCTGCTTGAGCTGTAGGCACTGTGTGTCAGTCAGATAGGGGAGTATGCTTAGGTGAAAAGCTATATCAACCTGAATTTTACCCAGTGAAGTTCCCGTCTTTTACCAGTTGACTTCCCTCCAGTTTCTTTCTGCTTTTAGTGTTTTAAAATTTTTTTCCAAAGTTTATAATAGTTGTTTATGGGAAGGTTAGTTTATACAAGCTATTCTGCCATTACTGGAAGCTCTATACATCTCAAATTTAAAGTACAGATTTTATCTAGTGGGCATATACTTAACTCCTGGAGTCTTTTATATTTTACCTATATAATTGTGAAATAAATACCTCCAGCTGTCCAAAAGATTGGTACCTCTCTTTAGTGTGATCCTTTTCAGTGTGCACTCTTTTACTGTGATTGTTGTTTATGCCTCCATTTCCAGTCTTTAATGGCATTCAGCCACAGAAAGATTAAGTTCATTTAAAGTTACAGTAGTAAAGTATGGCCAAAGTTATAAAGTTGATTAGAACTGTTTTCTGTTATGGTCGTAGCTCATCAAACATTTAAAAGTGACTTATCTATATTTTTTACAATAAATGTTATATATATATATTCCAACTTGGATGTGTATATACACATCTTTATATGGTATTTTGAATAACATTTTATAAACCAATATTTCTAATTTTTTAGGTTTTTTCGTGAAGGTGGGAATGTTTAGCTCGGGAGAGTTGATTTATAAGAAAAAGACACGCTTACTGAAGGCCTCCAATGGAAGAGTCAAGTGGGGAGAGACTATGATTTTTCCACTTATACAGAGTGAAAAAGAAATTGTTTTTCTCATTAAGCTTTACAGTCGAAGCTCTGTAAGAAGAAAACACTTTGTGGGCCAGGTTAGTAGGAGTTTTTATCCTTCCTTATATTTTTCTATGCATTTAAACAGTCAGTTAACAAAGGGAATACAGGATAATATTAAAGTCAAATAGAGTACAGTTCTTCAGCATCATAAATCAAAATTCAATTGCTACAAAAATCGAAACTTGTCAGACTTTTTGCTTTAATACAAATAGTTGGAATTTCTGAGCAATCAGGTTTATCTTTAAATATGTTTTTTTCTGAGCTTTTTTACTTCAAAAACGATGAGAATTATCAATTTTTCAGTACTACTGACTTGTTCCTTGTGGAAGGAGGGAACATTAAGTATTTAAATCAATTTCTTAAGTCTTCGAGTATCAAATTTATTTTGTTTAATCTTTGATTTAATGTTTAACATGGGCACTTTTTATATTCTCTTA
The DNA here is from genome assembly GCF_000001405.40 of Homo sapiens. Taxonomy (NCBI): domain Eukaryota; kingdom Metazoa; phylum Chordata; class Mammalia; order Primates; family Hominidae; genus Homo; species Homo sapiens. The sequence goes on along the minus strand of NT_187598.1, from coordinate 252,554 downwards.
CCTGAGTTAGTTTTGAATTCCTAGAACATGTCCATTTTAACAGTGGTTGTGATATTATTTAGTTAATACTACTGTCTGGATTATTTTAAAATCTTGGTACAATTTGTATAAAACAACATAACACTTGTTAACTTGCCAGTCCTCTAGGAACTTGTTTCCTTTCCTTACTCTGAATAGACTAGTGGTAGCTGTCCATTATCTTTTACCTTAATTACGATTGTTTGAACCACATTTAAATTCCAAAATCTATATTATTGGTTTAAAAGCTTCAACTTGACAAGATATTATTAACAGTCTACATGAAATCCTCAAATTATATATGAATTTTCAAACATTGATATCAGCTCCTTGATTTACTTTTTAATATATATTTTTACGTAAAATACTAATTAAAATGTTGTTTTATCATTTATTATTTGGAAAAGAGCTTGAATTTAAGAATTCATATAACCAGCATAATTTTGAAGACCATTAAGCCTTTATGAAGTCAATTCAGTTAAAGTTTTCGTATATCATCGAGCCTCAACTTAACGGTATGAATGGAATAGGAAATTTACTTGAGATGATTTTCATGATAACATTTGTGGTGATTCCATTCTCTTGGCTAAGATTCTAGTTAGAATAATAATTCTGGAAAGGTTCTTGCTGGTCATCTGCTCCGTATGGCTTATCTGGTATAGCCTTAGGAGGAACTATGATGGGGTAGCCAAAGGGGAACTCAAGGTCTTCCACCCCTGTATCAACGAAAGTACTCTAATGTCTGTTTTACATACTGGGATTATTTGTAAGATTTCATTTGAAAGGAAGGTTCTTTAGACCAAGAAAGAAAAGGAAAAAGGTTGAAACCAATGACCTGCTCCAATCTCTTAGAAACTGAATCTCAGAGAAGTTAACTTCAAGGTAAAAGCATTTGTTAGTGCTAGAGGTAAGATGAAAATTCAAGTTTTTTTATTCCTTGTCTTCATAATAATATAATTATTGTGATGTCTTTTGTACAATTTGCATAATACTATGTATACATTCACATGTAGTATTTAAGTTACATAAGTGATGGGTACTATGAAATTACTATTGATCAAGAATGACTATTAGATTTTAATTAAGATTACACTTTATTTCTTGTAAAAGGTGATTTAAAATGCACATTCCTTACCAATCTAATTTGAATCATGATTAGCCTCAGTTTAATTATCCTTACAAAAATATTTTTGAGTGGTTGGGATCAGTTTTAAGTTGAGCTCCTAGATTTGTTGAATAGGAAAGGATACTAATAACTGTTCTAGGGGAAATGATTTTGTAATATTTCACCTTGAATTTTTGAACTGAACCTTATAAACTAGTCTTCAGAATGACTAAGCAGGTTAAATGTTTTAGCATTTAAATGTCAAATAGAGAAATCAATCTGACTTTTGGAAAAAAGAAAGATGTTTAATTTAAAATATGTAAAGCAAACTTCCAAATTTCTTCCATCAGTAAGAGTAACTAACTGTCTGAATGTAGTTATTATTATTGTGTCAAGTTAAATGATTGTACATACTTTCCTTTACAGATTTGGATAAGTGAAGACAGTAATAACATTGAAGCAGTGAACCAGTGGAAAGAGACAGTAATAAATCCAGAAAAGGTTGTTATCAGGTGGCACAAATTAAATCCATCTTGAAGACTTCACACATTAATTTGGTGAAGAACTTGACATTCTTTTAGAAGACTTATGATTTCAATTTGCTACCAATGAGAAGAGGCAAATCAACAAATTTGTCAATTTATGGGGGCTATAATTATGGTATATAATGTATCTGATAGAAAATTTGATAAGAAAATGTAATGAATTTTATCAGATATCCAAAGTAAAGGAAATGTTTTAAAACTGCAACAAGAGACACAGACAGTAAAATCAAAGTATTATTAGGATGACTAAATAAATTATAAAGTCTGTGAGAATATCAACCATAGATAGTTCTTTCTATATTATGTTTTCGCTTTTGTATTTTAAGCTTTACTTAGATATTCAAAACCTGGTATATCAAGTCTCTGTTAGTACTATTGGCATTTAGAAGACTTTACCATTATTTCAGTGCTAGGCATTATTGATTAGGTCTTGGCTCCACTGTTTACCTCTTGCTATGTATTTTCTCCCGGTAAAAATGAATTGAACCATTTCAACTATTTTCTATATTTGGAGAAAGTTTGTGCCCTGTGTTTTATAATTTTTTTACCCATAAGACATCACATTATCCCTTTGTAAGCTACTTATCTCCAAAAAACTTCAGAAATAGAAAACTACATTTTGGCAGGAATAATTGAAAACACCAGAAGGTTGAAGTTTAATTGGAAACCCAGAATATACATACTTTGCTGTTTTCTTCCCTCAAATATTTTACTATTTGTTTTATTTGGAGTTAAAATAAGAGTATCATCCATATGGTCCATCCTAATTCACAGAATTAAATGAGCTTAAATAGAAAATTCAGTATTTTATGATAATCACTTCGTTTTTAGTTTTTAAAATTTAGATTATTCTATAATTTACCGTGTTTGAGTATTTTCTCATTTTTTTCATAACCATACCTGATTATACTGTGTAACAAATATTTTCTATTGCAGTTTTCTTTCCAGTACTTATTAGAACTCAGTATTTGGAAATAATTTCAGCTTAATTGACCATAAGAACTGTGGCCAAAAAGAACAGTTTTTTGGAGAGGCAGATGACATTATACCTGATTTTAGAAAATCTCACTTTATTTTTGCTAATAAGTAGACTAAGTGCTCTGTGTTCTCAGTCTTCCCTTTTTTTCTGCCCCCATTCTTACTTTGTCCCAGGCATGCAGAGAAAGATGGTGATATTTTAGGCCAGGAGTATACCTTGCTATAACCTAAGCATGCCTTCTTTATTCCAGCTCCTATGTTCTGTGTATATCATTAACATTTTCCCAAATAAACACTTAATTCTCTTTTCCCTAGGTGCCATCTCCTCAAGCTACAAAATGTCCACATCTTATATCCCCTTTGCTTCTACTGCTCTGATTTTGTGGTACCAGTACTCTCTGCCACTGAACATTTTGAAATATTTTTGTTTTAGATTTGCAAAAAATGACATATAGGTCAGTACTCACATGGATTTTTAAGATAAATCACCTGTGTGATAATATTTTGAATCTGAGACGAATACAACTTTTAAAAATTGTTTTTAAAAATAGACTTTTTTTTTTAGAGCAGTTGTAGGTTAACAGAAAAATTGAGAGGAAGATAGAGATTTCCTTTCTCCCCTGACAAAGCCCTCAACAGCCTCCCAGGCTATCAGTATCCTGCACCACAATGGTACATTTGTTACAATCAATGAACCTACTCTGAAACATCATTATCATCCAAAGTTCATGGTTTACATTAGAGTCCCCTCTTGGTGTTATACATGCTAGAGGACAAATATATGATGATATGTATGCATCATTATAATATAGTATAGTTTCGCTGCCCTAAACATCCTCTGCAAATGCAACTATTTTAATGGGTACCAAAGAAGTAAATGTATTTACTGGCTTTTAGATAATAAATAACGGGCTTTATTGTTTATTTTAAAAGCTACAATTTGTTTTAGCTGGTTTCTCTGTTCTATTAATGCTTTGAATTTCCAAATTTAATATATGTAGTCATGCATTTAACTTAATATTTAATTATTTGATTTATTTAATTTTCTATATTCTTACAATGTATGTATGATGTATAATTTAAGGGAAAGCTATGACTTCTCAGTTTCTTAGAATCCTAGGTAAATAAAACAATAAAAAGAAAACCCTTACATTTAAAAGAGCTTTCAGGTACAGAAGTATTGATACAACTAAGATCCTAAATGTTTTAATTAGTGTTTACTTAAGCCTTTTTCAGGTGAGGAGGTACTAATGCTGGTTATTTCCTTGAAGCTTTATGTGGACCTATAAATAAAAATCCAATCTCCTGCTAATAGGTATGCATATTGTGAGAAAAACGTTAGGAGCTGGTAGTAAAAAATGAGATTCTATGCCAAAATAACTTCTCTTCATATTTGCCTAGGCATTTCTTGACCTTTACCCACTTACGCAAGGAGAAGGAAATCATAATGATGTCATGTGATCAAAGGAAACCATGGAAGGGTTCACGCTGATAGCTGATAGCTTTTACAGTGCTCATTCCTAACAGTGGATTTACTTGTAAGCTTTCAGATCAACACAAATAGCTGCAGCCTGGGTTAAAATATAACATCACTATTTGGCTTTTGTTTTGCATGATTTTTAAAAGCAGTACTCCTAGGGAAATGGCCTCTGAAGTATATCAGTTTCATCTCTTACCAAGACTGTTAAGAAGAAACTAGTGGGATTTTGAACAAGTTATATAATTGTGGTCTGAAAAGACCCTAAACTGAAGTTCTGTTTAAATATAGTTACATGAATTTCTCTGATACTAATGTACTCAACAGCCAGGTATAAACTATATCTCCTAGTAACATTTTCCATTTTTGTTTAATCAAATACTTGCTTATGAAGGATTTCAGAAATTTGTAATAAATGTCAGCTTTTGATAGCATAGCAGTAATTGACATTTCAAAAATATATATTTCTTTCTGTGTTTGGTTGGGTGTAATGAGGAAAATACCTGATAAAATGTCTGAAGACACTTTCTAATGTTATCTTGGTGCATAAGCTGTAATTTTTATTCAAAATTAAATTTCAAATGTTTGCAGTTTTGGCTAAAACATTGAGTTGAAAGAATTATGAAAAGTGGGCCCATATGAAGTACCATGTTCATTTTGAAATATAGATTTAAGATTTAGAAATATATTAAAAGAGTTAATGGAGCCTCCTAAATTGGATTTTATTTTGTGGGTGAAGAATTGTAGGAAGATGAATGTGGCCTACAGTTTTAGTAATCTCCTAGTGGAGTTTTTTTTAACTTAGTACTTTTTTAGTTTTAAGTTTTTTAATCTATAAAAAATGTGATTTCTATAAACCATGATTACAATAAATAATTATATTAAACTGTAGGACTCTCATAATGGCAGTAGATGTCTAGAAAGAAAGTTCTGGGCTGGGGTACGATGGCTCATGCCTGTAATCCCAGCACTTTGGGAGACCGAGGCGGGCGGATCACAAGGTCAGGAGATGGAGACCATCCTGGCTAACACAGTGAAACCCCGTTCTCTACTAAAAATACAAAAAATTAGCCAGGCGTGGTGGTGGGTGCCTGTAGTCCCAGCTACTTGGGAGGCTGATGCAGGAGAATGGTATGAACCCAGGAGGAGGAGCTTGCAGTGAGTCGAGATCGCGCCACTGCACTCCAGCCTGGGTGACAGAGCGAGACTCTTGTCTCAAAAAAAAAAAAAAAGTTTTGTATGTCTTCTGAAACAATAGAAAGCTATCTGATTCTATGTTAAACTAAATCACCAAATGAGAATATGACTTTTAAATGGTGATGATGTTTATTCAGTATTGATCTTCATATTCTATGCTGTGGGATTTGTTTCTGGGTCATCCTTTTTTTTTTTTGTGAGATGGAGTCTCACTCTGTCGCCCAGGCTGGAGTGCGGTGGCACAATGTTGTCTCACTGCAACCTCCCTCTCCCAGGTTAAAGCGATTCTCATGCCTCAGCCTCCTGAGTAGCTGGGATTACAGGCACCCACCACCATGCCCGGCTAATTTTTTTGTATTTTTTTTTAAGTAGAGACAGGATTTTGCCATGTTTGCCAGGTTGGCCTTGAACTCCTGACCTCAGGTGATCCACCTGCCTCGACCTCCCAAAGTGCTTGGATTACAGGTGCAAGCCACTGTGCTGCCTTTAGTTTCTGAGGCAGTAGGATGATAAAAATGTCTGCCCTTCAGGATAGGATACTTATTTTAGCAGAAATAAATTTGGTTAACTGTGGTTTAAAATTGTCTTTTAATTTCTGAGTCTTTCATCTTTCTTGATTATATAATGTATGAAGTCAATCTCGAAACCACATTTTTAAATGGGCCATTTTATATGATATATTTAATAACTAAATGCAAAAAAAATCTAGTACTTCACACAAAGAACCATGCTTAGTGCTTTCAGGGATACAAGAATGAATAAGCCATTGTTTACACTGAGATTTTATATTTAGGTAGGTAAATGAAATAATATAAAGCAAGATTCTAGTAGAAAGCAGGTTTTAAGGTATGAACAAAATGCTTTAGAGGCTCAAATAAAGAAAGAATTTAATGCAGCGGAAGGAATTAGGAAAGGTTTGGTAGGTCCCTGACCTGAAACACACAAAACCAAGCACTGCTGTTCATGATCACTGACTCTGCCTCCCTAGCCATCCTACTTCATTTGTGTTGTCAGCTGACTCACTGTGAAAAACAGTTTATACATTCTTTCACTCTTTTCTAACCTTTAGCCTGCCTGCTGCTTTCTTTGCTCTTAGTAGAAGACCTTATGTCATGATTCGCAAAGAAAATAATGTCAGGTTTTCCTCCAACTTCCTACCACCATATCCACAAACTTGTTTTTACCCATATACATCCTTTCCCCCATTATGTTGGAAAGCCAGTCCTTCCTCATGACTTCTGAACCCAGTCCTCTCCGCATTCTCTGGGATTTCGTTCCATTTATTATGCCCATTTTCTCCTATTTTTGAACCATTCCCACTCACTCTACTGGATTCTTTGTTTCATCTTTGAAACCTCTGGTGTGTGGCTGTATCAAAATTGGTTGGTGATGTGTTTGATGCAAAGAACCCTACGGATACAGTTTTGGGGGTTAGGTTTTTGTATTGATGAAGGAACCCGTGTAAACACCGATGGACTGAATGTTTATGTTCCCCCAAAATTCATATGTTGAAATGCTAACCCCAAAGATGATAGTATTAGGAGGTGGGACCTTTGGGAAAAGATTAGGTCGTTAAGGCATTGGTAATTAGGCTGTTAAGGGATTAGTGCCTTTATAAAAAAGACCCAAAGAAATCCCTTGCCCCTTCTACCAGCTAAGGTTACAGTGAACAGATGACTTTCTATGAGGAAGCAAGCCTTTACCCAAAACCAAATCTGCCGGCATCTTGATATTAGACTTCCCAACCTCCAGAACTGTGAGGAATAAATGTTCATTGTAAGCTACCTAGTTTATGGTATTTTGTTATATCAGCCTGAATGGACTAAGAAACGTTACATAAAGCAGGAGCCAATGCAGCATGCTCCCCATAGAGGTGTGTCTTCCGAGGTCCCCAAAGCTTTCCCTGGGTTGGACTGCTACGGGTGAGTCTATGCATAGCCAGTGAAGATTCTCAGCACCAGAAGCTCTTTTCATTCTCACAGGAGTTTCTTTCCTCACTTTCCTTCTTCCACCCGACTGTTCCCAAGCATAGCCTTCATGTCTGCTTGCTCAACAAGTGTTAGTAATTGGTAGTCTACAATCCCAACAAATTCTTGAGTAATTATTAGAATTTAAGTGTAACTAACTCAATGAATAGGAAGGTTGGTTTCTCAGCATAGCATCCGTTAGGTCACCTTTCTCTGTGGTTTCTTTCTTAAAAAAATATTCCTAGACTTCCTCTCCTGTTCTAGATTCTGCCTTATCTGTTCTCCTCTTTATAGATAATTTCTAACCGCTCTGTCCTTAGTCCATTCTCTTCAATCTTCCATCCTCACCACTCCACCAAAGTTCATGTTAAAGTCTTAATAAATGCTTTTCAGCTATTTTTTTTCCTTTATTCTCATCAACTTTCTTAACAATAGCTTTCTCTCTCTCTCTTTCTCTCTCTGTCTCTCCCTGCCTCTCTCCTTGAAACCGTCTCTTCCTCTGGCTTTCATGTCATTATGCTCTGCTTATTTTTTTAACAACCTTCCTAGTCTGTTCTTCTCTGTTCGGCTCATCTTCATGCACCTGACTTTAAAAAGTAGAAGTTCTTTAGGACTCAGTCATAGGCCACCTTTTCTTGTCATTCCACACTGTTTTCCAGGGCAACGTCATCTATTTCCATGGCTTGAAATGCTATCTACTGTCTAATTTACATCTCTACCCAAATCTTGCTATGAGTTCCACTGTCATATAGCTAATGTGGACATCTTTTCTTAAACGTGTTCTAAATCAAACTTTTGATTTCCCATTCCTACCACAAGTGTGATCTTCACTTTTCCCCATCTGAGTAAAAGGCACTGTCATCCACCTAGTTGGTCATCCCAGAAACCTATTCATTGAGTTAATTACACTTAAATTCTAATAATTATTTAGAAATTTGTTGGAATCATTTTCTACCAGTTACTAACACATGTAAATGGAAAAACTATTTCTCTTTCTGTATTCTGGTTGTGCTGGGGGGGGGGGGGGAAATTAAAACAAGAAAAGCTGTTTCTTTATTCTTACAATACTTCTGACACCAAATGTGTGGGCTTTTCCCACCAAGCAATTCTTTAATTCCCTGTGGACACCAACTGGGTGTTGTATAATTTACCTTAATTCCAACACTACCCAGAGTTAGCACAGACCCCACAAATTAAGGGCCCAGTTCCACAGACTGCCCCCCACTTCCTATGCCAATCATAAGTGGCAGGTCTCCAGGCTGCCCACAACTTTGGTCTTACTTGACTACAAATTGGAGCTTCTCATGACACCTCAGGTTTGATAATTTGCTAAAATTGTTCACAGAACTCAGGGAAACAGTTTATGTACATATGTCAGTTTTTTATAAAGGATTCAAATCAGGAACAGCCAAATGGAAGAGATGCATGGGGCAAGCCAGTGGGGAGGGATGTGGAAGTTCCCTGCCCACTCGGGGAGTGCCACCTTGCAGGCTCTTCGATATGCTTACCAACAATAAGCCCTCTGGACTTCAGTTAAGATTTTTATGAAGATGTCATTACATAGGCATGGTTGATTAAGTCATTAGCCATTGGTGGTTGAACTCAGTCTCTACCCACTCTCTCCTCCCCAGAGGTTGAGGGGGCTTGGGAGATGGACCTGAAAATTCCAACCCTCTTAACTATATTTTTGTTTTCCTGGCAACAAGACCCTCATTCTTGACGGCTTTCCAAAAGTCACCTCATTAACATAAACTGGGGTGTGTTTGAAAGGGGCTTGTTAGGAATGACACAAGATGCTACTTTCACCTTCATCGCTCTGGAGCTATTTCAGGAGCCAGGGACAAAAACCAAATATAAGAAAAGATGCCTCATCACACTTATTGCTTAGGAAATTCCAAGGGTCTTAGGTGTGTTGATGGTACAGTGGTGAGCATAGCTGCCTTCTAAGGGTTTTAGGAGCTCTGTGCCAGGAGTCAACGACAAAGACCAAATCTATGTTATATCAATATCACACCTTGGAACTCTTCTCTTATCTCCCATACTCAAGTCACCCTGTTCAGAAATATATATATCCTAAATAGATCTTGAATGCACCCACTTCTCCATCTCCACTTCAACTTCTCTAATCAAAGGCAAAATCATATCCCACCTGTAGTACTGTACTTTCCTTATAATCTGATTGTCACACCTTGGTTCTCGGTGCTCTTAGTATGAAGTCCAAAATCCTTAACACAGCCTACAAGGCCCTTGTAGGGGATGACCCACTTTTCCTCTACCCTCTTATATTCAATGAATGGGGGTCTGTGAATCAAACTAACAAATGACATTAACAGGAGAAAAGACACCATTTTTATTAATGTTTACATGCATAAGTATTCACAGAAAAGTGAAACTCAAAGAGGTAATTAGATTAGGAGTTTATATACCCTTTTAATAAAGGAAAGGAGGTTTGGACTTTAAGAGATAAATTGTGGGGAAGTGACTAGGAAATACATGGGGGAACTAATGGAGGATAAGGGTTATTTTAGTTAGGTCTGTTTGTGCAAACTCATCTCGGTGTTGACTCTCCATCTCCGGTGATAAGTCACTCCTCTTCCTGGTCCACAGAGTATGGAGAACACCTTCACAAAGCATAATTTATGCCCTGCTTTTAGGCAGTTAAGGGGACGGCAAAGAACTCTTCTTACATCTGTTGACTCTCAGTTGCTTTCAGCTCAAAATCTTTATGCCAAAGTGGCATACTTTGAGGTGACATATCCTGATCCCCTTTCTCCTGTTGTGTTGTAAGGAATAATTATGTTACTTAAAATGGGTTGGGTTTTGTTTGTTTGTTTGTTTTTTTGATGATCGGTCAGATGTGGACATGTAATAATAACACCATGGAGAGGCATATGAAAATGAAGGAGATTTATTATATTGGCAGGTCCTAGAAGAGGGAGGTATGGCATGCCATGCAGGGGGCATGTGGGAGGAACTCCCAGGGAGTGAGCTCACCCAAGCAGGTGGGGAGCAGAGAGAGAGAGGGTCGGGGGAAGGACCTATGGACAAGGGCCTTTGTTGGTGGTCAGGGTACAGTATATAAGCAAAAAGCATGAGAGTGTTTCATTGGAGTGTTTGAATGTCACTAGATCACACTCAGAATAACAAAAAGGGGAACTTGTGGCAGGAACCAGCCTTCTCACACTGGTGCACCTGATTGCCCAGACATAGTGTTCATAGCCTGTTTGTGGGAATGTTGAGGCATCAAGAAAATAGGAAGTTTTAAAAATTTACAATATCCCTGTATAATCTGAGCTCTGCCTTCCACTCCAGCCTTATTTTTAACAATTCTCCTCTTTAATCTCACTGATCTGTTTTCAGTTCTTGGAAGACAGACAATACACACCTAGCTTCCTCTGGATCTTCACACATCCTGTTTCACCTATGTGGAATAGTTTCTCTCTTTACTCTTCCCTTTACTAAATCCTATTCTCTTTTTGAAGGTGCCAGCTTAAATATCTGTTCCTCAGAAAAGTCTCTTTTGATTTTTCAAGCAATATTAGGTCTTATTTTCATATACTTTATGCTTTTTCTTTATAGCTTTTATCAGAATTATGGTTAAATAGTTAACTTACGTAGTTGTCTCTCCTAGACTGTAATTTCCATGAAAGCAGGGTCTTGTTTATTGCTGCATTCCTGAACCTAGTACAGTATCTGGCCTATAAGAGGTACATAGTCAATGTTTGTTCATTTACACATTTAACCGATAGGCAATGTTTTGAGTGTTAGGGATTTAACAGTGAACCAACAAAAAAATGAATGAACACATAGAGTTAGGTTTTATGGCTCAGTAAAGTGGTAGTTAAGGCCAATATCTTCTTATTGAAAGAGATAATGCTGTATAATACATTATTACCATATTTACTTTAAAATTCATTAGTACATTTCTTAATCAGAGAAAAGAAATATAATAGCTTCATATCTAACTCATACTATCAAGCTTACAAAAAACTTCTGAAATTTTAAAGTGTTTATAACACATAATGCTAAATTTAGTAGATTGCTGAGATCTTTATCCGATTTTGCCTTATCATTACATGTTAGCAGCTTAATGTATATCATTACTAAGAACAAAAATTATATTTATTTATTTAAAACATTTATTTTTTGCAGGGAATGAGTTAAATTTGATTTCTGTATAAAGTAGGAACAATACTTAGATTGTGTCCAGCTTTGAAATTTTCTTATAAGATGTAACTAACATGTTTAAGTGACCCTACATAAACAAGTACTGTAGTTGTTGTCTACTGGCCTAAACAGGATTTATAAGACTTCTGTAGGAAAGAAGACGAGCGTAGAAAATCGGTTAGATGATAGTTCTACTCCTGGAGGGAGAGAATGAGAATTTTGGAGACCCTTCCTGATACAATTTAGGAAATGGATTCAGGGAAGAGGCTGTAAGAGAAGCAGGCCTCATCCCATGTACATCTCAGTACTCGGGACAGTTTCCTCTACCTCTCCTTATCCAGGAAGGACAGATAATAGGTCTGCAGATAAAGAAGGTGAAAAAGATTGCTGAGTAACGTTTTCTTAAGTCATAATGAAAAAGAACCCTGGGAAGGACGGATGGACAACCAGATAGAGGCCTTTAAGAGTAAGGGAAGTTTATGGAGAATAGTTAAGGATGGAAAAGTAAGAAGGTAAGGGTGCAGTTGTATAGTGACCCTATATGCTTCCTAATACTATATGCATTTTCGTTTTACGTAAGTTGTCTTGTTGTAATTCAGATTTCCTTCAGAGGAATATATACAAAATTCTTATATTACCCCTTCCTCTTCTCCTTTCCTGCATCCTTTCCTCCTGCCCTCCTTCTTCCCTCTCTCTCCAATCCCTGCTATTTGCCAAAACTCCTGCTCTATGTTTTGCTTTCCTGATGGAAAATCTGAAAACTAGTTTGGTCTGTGGTAATAAAAATCACTGGCTCTCCTGCCTGGAAAAGACCCTAAGAGTTCTCTACTGTAAATGCTCAGCTAACTAGAACATAGCAATATTTATTTTCAACAAATATTTATTGGGCACCTACTTTGTGCCGCTCATTTCAGGTGCTAGGAATACAACACTAAGCAAAATAGACCAAAAAACACCGCCCTCATAGAGCTTGTATTTTAGTGAATACATCAGAATATACAGAATATTTTCAACTAAAATTTGATGGGTTTCATGCAATGAATGAACAAATAGAAAATCAGAAAGTCTGTTCCTGGTCTTTCCTTCTATATGACTGTTCTATATGCCAATCTTCGTCACTGAATCTCTCTCTGTCTTCAAATGCTCATGTTAATAATGTACTAATGCATTATTATCCAGGTTTTTTTCCCCAAAAAAAGATACATTTATTTTTTAAAAAACTTTTAGTTTCAGGGGCACATGTGCAGTTTTTTTATATAGTAAATTATGTGTTGCAGGTGTTTGATGTACAGATTATTTCCTCACCCAGGTAATAAGCATGGTACCTGATAGGTAGTTTTTTGATCCTTGCCCTGCTCCCACCCTCCACCCTCAAGTAGGCTCTGGTTTCTGTTGTTCTCTTCTTTGTGGCCATGTGTGCTCAATGTTTAGCTCCTACTTATAAGTGAGAACATATGGTATTTGGTTTTCTGTTCCTGCATTAGTTTGCCTAGGATAATGGTCTCCAGCTCCATCTATGTTGCTGCAAAAGACATGATCTTGTTCTTTGCTATGGCTGTATTGTATTCCATGGTGTGTATGTACCACATGTTCTTTATCCAGTCTGCCGTTGATGGGAATCTAGGTTGATCCCATGCCTTTGCTATTGTGAATAGTGCTGTGATGAACATTAAGTGTGCACGTGTCTTTATGGTAGAACAATTTATATTCCTTTGGGTATAGACCCAATAATGGGATTGCTGAGTTGAATGGTAGTTCTGTTTTAAGTTCTTTGAGAAATAACCAAACTGCTTTCCACAGCGGCTGAACTAATTTACATTCCCACCAGAAGTATATAAGCATTCCTTTTTCTCTACAACCTTGCCAGCATCTGTTGTTTTTTAACTTTTTAATACTAGCCATTCTGACTGGTGTGAAATGGTATATCATTGTGGTTTTGATTTGTATTTCTCTAATGATTAGTGATGTTCAGCACTTTTTCATAGGCTTGTTGGCCAAATGTATGTCTTCTTTTGAATAGTGTCTGTTCATGTCCTTTGCCCCACCTAAAGAGGAATATTTAAAGATATTATTTTCCTTGAGCTACTTTTTTTCTCTTGAGACAGGGTCTCACTCTGTCACTCAGTCTGGAGTGCAGTGGTGTGATCATAGCTCACGTGCAGCCTTAACCTCCTGAGTTCAAGCAATCCTTCTACCTCAGCCACCCAAGTAGCTGGAACTACAGGCACGTGCCACCATGCCTGGCTCTTTTTTTTTTTTTTTTTTTTTTTTTTTTTTTTTTTTGAGACGGAGTCTCTCTCTGTTGCCCGGGCTGTAGTGCAGTGGCACGACCTTGGCTCACTGCAACCTCCGCCTCCCAGGTTCACGCCATTCTCCTGCCTTAGCCTCCAGAGTAGCTGGGACTACAGGCGCCTGCCACCACGCCTGGCTAATTTTTTTGTATTTTTAGTAGAGACAGGGTTTCACCGTGTTAGCCAGGATGGTCTCAATCTCCTGACCTTGTGATCTGCCCATCTCGGCCTCCCAAAATGCTGGGGTTACAGGCGTGAGCCACCGTGCCCAGCCCCAAGATACTGGGCTTTTACAGGGGAATGGCCACATCGAGGGTCAAGAAAATTACTGTAAGTGGTAGGATTTGGCTTATGATAATGTGTGTGTATGTGCATATACCCAAGCTCACAATACACATGCCATTTATCTTGTAGAATTAGAAAAATGACATGTTTTCCTGAAAATGAGGGAAATAAATGATCAACGGGGTAGGAAGAGTGGTGGAAATATTGTAACAGATTTGATCACAGTCAAGTGTGTTTCTTTTCCCAGTCCAGAAAAAAACTAAGCTTGACAAATAAGGAAGTTTTCCCTTTCCTAGTCCAGAATAAACTAAGTTGTAGACACAACAGAACAGTAAAGTGTTTGGGATAATGCCATGGAGTCTTTGGCTTAGGTTATATATGGTTGTACAGAGCCGGATCTGCTCATTGTGTCTCACATTCTGTCTCAGCTATGTGGTAATAAATGATGAATTCTCAAGGAGTTTCTATCCCTGCTTCCTTCTTGAAAGCTGATAAGGTTAAAAAATTTTTTTCCCTTATGATTTACCTGGGTATATGAAAGAAAATAGTTCTTGACCTTTTTTCTTTCCCAGCATATCTGAAGGGTATGACACATTTCCATCACTAATAGTGAGTCACACTAGCAATAATTTGCACCTAGCTTGTGAATCTTAAAGCCCCCAATTATTGAAGGAGGTAGAACATAGTGAAATGCAAACACATACCTAGTCTATGTAGTTTTATCTTGAGGCAGTTCACACATGAAAATGTAATCTGTTCTTTTGAATTTCTTAATCACTTTTTCCATATTAATCTTATTGCCTAGATAATTTCTGTGCCCTAGGAGTAAGGAAAATGAACAAGATATACTTATTTCATTTTTTTAAATCAGGATGTTGGAAGATATTAATCTTTTGGTTTTGGCCACATTTGGAAAACTTCGGTTTAACCACCCAAAATATTAATTTGTAAAGCAGAAATAATAATTCTTTTCAGGACCCTGCGTGATTGTGATTGGTTGCTGTAAGAGAGGTACGTAAATTTGGTTGTTGTTTGAGAAGGGAGGTGAGAATAACTTGGGAAGACCAAAACAACTCAGGATGGCTTCACATTCCTTAAGTCTAGGCCCTCAGTTTTACCAGGCTTGAATTTTAATTTCATCAGGATGCTAATAAATTAGGGGAATTAGTTCAGCTAATAAAACTTTCCAAAGTCTGATGTGCAAACTGTATACCAGTTTACTAATTTATAAATGGAAGATAGTCCCTTCCAATGATATAAATATTTATGTCTGCCTTTACAGCATCTCTGTATTGTGTCAGGGCATGCATTAAGTTGAATTTTAGAAGCCAGGTAATTGTTTGGGGAGCATGCAATCAAAGCAAAGGGAAGTGGATTGTAGACAGAGGTATAATCCAGGCCACGGTGCGGCCAGTGTAACATCCTGCCTCAAGCGGGAGTCTGCTGAAGATCCTTACTGTCAGATGCCCAGATTTAGTGTCTTTCTCCTGGAGAGCACAGGACTTACACTGTTTATACCGTTTCTTTGACCGTCCCATTTGCTATATTTCATTCTGACCATCCCCACCTGTTTACAGAATCTTTGGCCAGACAAGTTATCATTTAATTGATGAGATTTCAGCTTGCTAAGTTAAAATCCCATTTTACGATGTCTCTCAGACATTATACCCGGGTCATCTGAAGTGCAGTTTTAGGAACTTTCTCCACTCTTTGGTAATAAATAAATGTATGTCTGAAGCCTCTAGGTTTGCAAAATCTCGTCTATCAATAGCATTTGAAGTATTTAACATACTCGATTATTCCTTCCTTAACACATTTCTTCACTTTTGAGAAACTGTTTTTGGGGTGTGGGGGTTCCTTTATTACTGTATTAGCTGCATGGCAAATATGGCATTATCATTCAAAGGGTAAGGAAGCTAAACAGGGTTTATATTGTAGTTGATTGGTAAGCTTCGGACCACAAGGAAAGTAAGAGAAAATTATTAGCGTAGAATTCTTCTCTGGCTTGTCAAAGACTGTTTCAGGTCATCATCATAGTTATGTGAATCTGCACCCCAAGAGTATGTCAGTTTGGAATTTGGATGCCTGGAACTGAGAGATTCTAACCAGTGATGTGTTTTCTAAAGACAGGAGGAAATTGTTGTCATAAAATAACTGTTTCTTTCTTTACTTTTTTTTTTTTTTTTGGTAGAGATGGAGCCTTGTTATGTGGCCCAGGCTGGTCTCAAACTCCGGGCCTCAGGTGATCCTCCCACCTCAGCCTCTTAAAGTTTTGGGATTACAAGGATTACATCTGTTAAAATACCTGTTTTTGTCTTTATATGATCCTCAAATTCTTTAGCAAGTTTTCCATTTTTATTGCAGGGTCACTGGAAAGTGTTATAAATACACTTTTGATACTATTATATCTGACATCACTGTATTTATCCAAAAGTGACAACGTTTTCTCATTTTTTTTTTTTTTGCCTTAGGAAGAAAATAGTAAGAAGTAGATTTTTCATGTCAAGTGTGGTGTACTGCTATTTGAAAGAAATACAATCTTATAACAGTATTATATTTTAAAGACTTGCTGATTCTCTGTAAGGTCACAATATGTTTTACAAGTTTCAGAAGTAGGGTTTCTTCATTATGAGATTCATAATGTTCACAGTGTAATCTAAAATTTAAGATTCTTTCATTCAGTCATGTCTTTCCCCTTTTTGTAGGGGGTTGGTGGTGCTAACAAGTCATGTAAAAGTAACTTATTTGCATTTTTAACCACTGTGGCAGAATGGTTGCCATCAATTTAGCATATTACAGTAGTATTTGCTAGAGAAAGTTACAAGTTCTTAGAGCTAAAGCTACTCAAGAATTTACTTAATCTGAGTTTATCTTTTCTTCTTACTGTATCTAGGATATAGTCACAATTATAGAAACCTTCCAGAATGTTTTTTTGGAGGGGAGTTTACCAAAGTATACCTATAAAAAACATCTGAAAATTTACACTCATGGAAAAGGCTTTATCTGTTAAGATTCCAAATAACTTTGTCATGGCAGTAATAATGAGAAAACAAATATAGACAAAGTTCAAGTTTTTAGGAATAGAGAAAAGTAAGAGTGAAACATCAGGTACCGTTACGAAGCCAATTGGTCATAAGTAAAATCATGTCCATTTGAAGAGGTTAATTTAATGTCCATACCCAAAGAAAATAATAAGCACATGAGAAATAGTTTATATTTTTTGTATAAATGTAAGGGGTACAAATGCAGTTTTGTTACATGGATATATTATGCAGTTGTGAAGTCTGGGCTTTGAGTGTAATCATAACTCAAATAATGAGTATTTGTTAATTTCTCATCTTTCACCTCTTCTTACCTTCCTACCCTTCTGAGTTTCAAATGTTTATTATTCCACACTCTATGTCCATGTGTACACATTATTTAGCTCCCACTTATAAGTGAGAATATGTGGTATTTGACTTTCTATTTCTAAGTTATTTCTCATAAGATGATGGCCTCTAGTTCCACCCATGTTGCTGAAAAAGATATGATAATACTTTTTGTGGCTGAGTAGTTTTTCCATTATGTATATTATATTTATATATATGTATATATACATGTGTGTGTATATCTGTATATATATATGTGTGTGTGTGTATGTGTGTGTGTGTAATATACCCCAGGTATTTTATTTTATTTTGAGACAGAGTTTCACTCTGTTACCCAGGCTGGAGTGCAGCGGTACAATCTCGGCTCACTGCAACCTCCACCTCCTAGGTTCAAGCAATTCTCCTGCCTCAGCCTCCCAAGTAGCTGGGACTACAGGCATGTTCCACCATGCCAAGATAATTTTAGAATTTTTAGTAGAGACAGGGTTTTACCATGTTGGCCAGGCTTGTCTCAAACACTGGCCTCAAGTTATCTGCCCACCTCAGCCTCCCAAAGTGCTGGGATTACAGGTGTTAGCTACCATGCCCGGCTGTCCACAGGTATTTTATAACAACAATTTATATGTGTACATATACATTTTTATATAGATTATATATTTATATGTATTTATAATAATACATACAATATAATATATAACATATATTTATAATATGTACATACGTATATATAAATTGTCATTTTATCTGATGCCAGATAGTATCAAAAGTGCATTTATAACACTTTCCAGTGACCCTGTAATAAAAATGGAAAACTTCCTAGAGAATGTGAGGAGCATATAAAGACAGAACAGGTATTTTGACAGATGTGGTGGTTCACACCTGTAATCCTAACACTTTAAGAGAACTGAGGTGGGAGGATCACTTGAGGCCAGGAGTTTGAGACCAGCCTGGGCCACATAGCGAAGCTCCATCCCTACCAATAAAAATTCAAAAAAAAGAAGGAAAGAAAGAAACAGGTATTTTACTATAACAATTTCCTTGTGTCTTTTTATATATATAATTATATATAAATAGATATATGTGTCTTTATGTAACTATATATGTAAGTATATTAATATGTGTATATATGGACACATTTCAGCACATTTATATAATTATATGTATAATTATATATATATGTATATAGATGTGGTATATATATACCATATTTCCTTTATCAAATCATCTGCTGATGGACACCACTTACGTTGAGTCTATATCTTTGCTATTGTGAATAGTGCTGCCATAAAGTTATGAGTGCAGGTATCTTTTTTATATGACTTTTTAATATGACTTCCTTTGGGTAAATTAAACAATAATGAGATTGCTAGATTGAATAGTAGTTCTATTTTTAGTTCTTTGAGGAATCTCCATATTTTTCATAGAGGTTATACTAATTTATATTCCTATTGATAGTATATAAGCATTCCCTTTTTTTCCACATTCTCATTAACATCAATTTTTTTTTTTTTGAGATAGAGTCTTGCACTGTCACCCGGGGTTGGAGTGCAATGGTGTGATCACCGCGTCCCGGGTTCACGTTATTCTTCTGCCTCAGCCTCCCAAGTAGCTGGGATTACAGGCGTATACCCCTACACCTGGCTAATTTTTGTATCTTTAGTAGAGACAGGATTTCAATATGTTGGCCAGGTTGGTCTTGAACTCCTGACCTGGTGATCCGCCTGCCGCAGCCTCCCAAAGTACTGGGATTACAGGCATGAGCCACCTGCACCGGGCCTTTTTTTGACTTTTAAAAAGTAGCCTTTTAAACTGGTGTGAGATGATATGTCATGGTGCTTTTAATTTGCCATTTCTCCTATGATTATGTTAATCATTTTTTCATATGCTTGCTGGCCATTTCCATGTCTTATTTGGAAAAATGTCTTTTCACATCCTTTGCCCACTATTAAATGGGGTTATTTGTATTTTTGTTGTTGACTTATTTGAGTTCCTTGTAGATTCTGGATAGTAATCCTTTGTCAGATGCATAGTTTGCAGATATTTTATCTGATTTTTCAAGTAATTACTCCATTGATTATTTCTTTTGCTGTGGAGAAACTTTTTAGTTTATTGAAGTCCCATTTTTCTATTTTGTGTGTGTTTTTTTTTTTTTTTTGCAATTGTTTTTGAGGTCTTAGTCATGAATTCTTTGCCTAGGTCAATGTCCAGAAGAGTTTTCCCTAACAGGTTTTCTTCTAATTTGAAGTTGATAATGTGATGCCTCTAGCTTTGTTCTTTTTGCTTAGGATTGCTTTGGTAATTTGGACTCTTTTTTGGTTCCATATGGATTTTAGGACTGGTTTTTCTAATTCTGTGAAAAATGATATTGATATTTTGATAGGAATTGCATTGAATCTGTAGATTTCTTTGAGCAGTATGATCATTTTAATGATATTGTTTCTTCTATTCCATGAGCCTGAAATATTTTTCCATTTGTTTATGTCATCTGTTAATACTTTTTAAAAATTAGTGTTTTATAGTGTTTCTTATAGAGATCTTCACCTCCTTCATTAAATAATATATTCCTAGATATATGTTTTAATCTAGTGTAAATGGGATTGAGTTCTTGATTTGGTTCTCAACTTGATCATTCTTGATATATAGAAATGCTACTGATTTTTATACATTGGTTTTGTATTCTGAAACTTTACCGAATCCATCTATCAAATCTAGGAGCCTTTTAGAGGCATCTTTAGGGCTTTTCTAGGTATAAGCTCATATTGTCAGCAAACAGATAATTTAACTTTCTTGTTTCCAATTTGGATACCTTTTATTTCTTCCTCTTGCCTGAGTGCTCTGGCTAGGACTCCCAGTAGTATGTTGAATAGGAGTGGTGAAAGTGGGTATCCTTGTCTTGTACCAGTTTTTAGGGGGAATACCTTTAACTTTTCCTCATTCTGTATGATGTTGGCTGTGGGTTTGTCATATATGCTTTTTATTATTTTGTATAATGATCTTTTATACCTCTTTTTTTAGGACTTTTATCATGAAGGGATGCTGAATTTCATCAAATGCTTTTTCTGCATCTATTGAGATGATCGTATGGTTTTTGTTTTAATTCTGTTGATGTGGTGAATCACATTTATTGACTTGTGTTTGTTGAACTCTCCTTGCATCCCTGGAATAAAACCTACTTGATTGTGGTATATTATCTTTTTGATGTGCTGTTAGATTCAGTTTGCTAGTATTTTGTTGAGGGTTTTTGCATCTGTGTTCATCAGGGATATTGATCTATAGTTTTTGTTGTTGTTGTTGTTGTTATGTCCTTGTCTGGCTTTGATATCAGGGTGATACAGGCTTTGCAGAATGAGTCAGGAAGGATTCCTCAATTTTGGGGAACATTTTGAGGAGGTTCAGTACCAGTTCTTCTTTGAACTGTCTTGGAGAATGCTCCATGTGCTGATGAGAACAATATACATTCTGCTGTTTTTGGGTAGAATCTTCTGTAAATGTCTGTCAAGTTCATTTGGTCTAAAGTCCAATTAAAGTCCAGTGTTTGTTAATTTTCTGTCTTGATGATCTCTCTAGTGCTGAGTTAGGTGTTGACATTCCCTACTATTATTGTATTGCTGTCTATTACCCTCTTTAGGTCTAGTAATATTTGTTTTTATGAATCTGGGTGCTATAGCATTGGGTGCATATATATTTAGGATTGTTATATCCTCTCATTGAATTGATCCCTTTAGCATTGTATAATAACTTTTTTTGGTAGTTTTTTTTTTACTGTTGTTGATTTAAAGTCTGTTTTATCTGATATAAGTATAGCTATTCCTGCTCACTTTTGGTTTCCATTTGCATGGAATATCTTTTTCTACCACTTTACCTCCTTACTGTAAGTGTCTTTATCAGTAAGGTGAGTTTCTTGTAAGCAGCATATAGTTCGTTCATGTTTTTTTTTTTTAATCCATTCCATGAATCTATATATTTTAAGTGTAGTGTTTAATACATTTACGTTCAAGGTTAATATTGATATGTGAGGTTTTGTTTCTAGTATGTTATTAATTGTTATCTAGTTTCTTTGTAGATTCTTTGGTTTTTTTTTTTTTTGTCCATCTGTCTTTGTGATTTGGTCATTTGTTGTTTTGTCATTTGATTTCTTCCCCTGTCCTCTCTGTGTGATTGTTTTATAAGACCTATGAGTTTTATACTGTAAACCAAAAATAAAATACTAAGCCCCCCCTCAACCATCTGAATGGACTTCCTCCTCAACCAAGGCTCTTTTAATATTTAACCTGAGAGACTGTTTCAGGCCATGATGGGAAATGAGGGTTGGTTATGCCTCATTATACCTCTCTGGCATTAACATCAACACAGACTTTAAGTCTGATAAGAAACATTTTACAACCTATGATCTCTGAAGCCTAGTACCTGAAGACTTCCTCTGCAAATAAGAACTTGGGTCTCCACAATCCTTTATCTTAACCCAGACGTTCCTTTCTATTGATCCCAGGTCTTTAGATAAACCCAACCAATTGTCAATCAGAAAGTTTTTAAATCTACCTATAAGCAGGAAGCCCCCACTTCAAGTTGTCCTGCATTTCTGGACCAAACCAATGTATTTCTTAAATTTTTTTTATTGAAGTCTCATGTCTCCCTAAAATATATAAAACCAAGCTGCATCCTAACCACCTTGGGCACATGTTCTCAGGACCTCCTGAGGGCTGTGTCATGGGCCATGGTCACTCATATTTGGCTCAGAATAAGTTTCTTCAAATATTTTACAGAGTTTAACTCTTTTCATTGACAATACTGTCATATGTTTTTATGATGGCAAATATTGATCTTTCACTTCCATGTTTAAAACTCCTTTAACATTTATGGTAGGACTGGTCTAGTGGTAACAAATTCCTTGGGTATTTGCTTCTCTGGGAAAGACTTCATTTTGCCTTCATTTATAAAGCTTATTCCAGCAGGATACAAGATTAGTGGTTGGCAGTTTTTTCTTTAAGCACTTTGAAAATAGAATCCCAATCTCTTCTGGCTTCTGAAGTTTCTGCCGAGAAGTCTGCTGTTAGTATGATGGAGTTTCCTTAATAGGTGATGTGTTAGGCCATTTTTGCATTGCTATAAATAAATACCCAAGGCTGAGTATTTTATAAAGTATTTAGCTCATGGTTCAGCAGTCTGTATAAGCATGTTACCAGAATCTGCTTGGCTTCTGGTGAGGCCTCAGGAAACTTACAGTCATGGAGGAAGGTGAATGAGAACTATTGTGTCACATGGCAAGAGCAGGAGCAAGAAAGAGATAGGGGAGGTGCTACACTCTTTTAAACAACCGGATCTCATATGAATCCATCACCACTAATTATCTCAGGGAGGGCACAAAGCTATTCATGGGGAATCTGCCCCCGTGAGCCAAACACCTCCCACTAGGCTCCACCTCCAACAATGAGAATTATATTTCAACATGAGATTTGGAGTGAGAAAACATCCAAACTGTATCAGGCGACTAGCTGCTTTCCTCTTGCAGAATTTAGGATTTTTTTCCTTCATGTTAACTTTAGATGATCTGATGACTATATGTTGTCGTGAGGCAACATGTTTTCCTAGAGTTCACTGGGCCTCTTATATCTGAATGTCTAAATCTCTTGGTAGACTAGAGAAGTTTTCCTCAATTATTTTCTCGAATACTTTTTTTTTTTTTTTTTTTTTGAGACGGAGTCTTGCTCCGTCGCCTGGGCTGGAGTACAGTGGTGCGATCTCGGCTCACTGCAAGCTCCGCCTCCTGGGTTCACGCCATTCTCCTGCCACAGCCTCCTGAGTAGCTGGGACTATAGGTGCCCACCACCACGCCCGGCTAATTTTTTGTACTTTTTTAGTAGAGACGGGGTTTCACCATGTTAACCAGGATGGTCTCCATCTCCTGACCTCGTGATCCGCCAGCCGCCCACCTCGGCCTCCCAAAGTTCTGGGATTACAGGCGTGAGTCAAATAGTGTTTCTAAACTTTTTGCTTTTTCTTCTCCCTTGGGAATGCCTGTGATTTATCAGTTTGCTTGTTTTATGTAGTCCCATACTTCTTTAAGGCTTTGCTTATTCTTTTAAATTCTTTTTTCTCTATTTTCTTCTCACTGGATTAATTCAGTGAGAAAAAAAGCCCAGTCATTGCATTCTAAGATTCTTTCTTCTGTTTGGTCTAGTCTATTATTGAATATTTCAACTGTATTTTGTAATTCTTTCAATGAATTTTTCATTTCCAGAATTTTTTTTTTTTTTTTTTTGAGACAGAGTCTTGCTCTGTTGCCCAGGCTGGAGTGCAGTGGCACAATCTTGGCTCACTGCAACCTCCACCTCCCAGCTTCAAATGATTCTTGTGCCTCAGCCTACTGAGTAGCTGAGATTACAGGTGTGTGCCACCATGCCTGACTAATTTTTTAATATTTTTAGTAGAGTTGGGGTTTCACCATGTTGGCCAGGCTGGTCTCAAACTCCTGACCTCAAGCAGTCTTCCCACTTCGGTCTCCCAAAGTGCTGGGATTACAGGCATGAGCCACTGTGCTCAGCCCAGTTGCTGCTTCTTATTTTTAATTTTACCTTCATTAGGGTGGGACTTTTTTTTCTTGAGGATGCGACTATGGTGTTTGTTAAGTAGGGTCATTTGGCTTTGCTTCTGGGTACATTCAGTGGCATAGATTTTGTATGATTTCCTTGGTTATAAGTAACCTGTGTGGTAGCTTTCTCAAATGCCAAGTGTAGTAGTGATGTACTGGGTGGGTGAGTGGGCTCAAGGCCTCCTGAGTAGCCTGGGTGGCGTGGGCAATGATGGTAACAGAGGCAATGCAAAGCTTGTCTCCTTCTTGAGCTCTGTGCTCTTGAGTCGGCAGATGTTGTAAGGGACTGTGTAGATCAACCTTTAGGACAGGAGGTAGCACCTAAAAGTGAGAACCAGCTGTGGTGGTGGCAATAGAGTTTATGCTTGACCTTTGTTAATCGGGAGAAGTTCTTGGGCATTTCAGATGATGGGTAGGGCCATGGAACTCTCAGTAGTCCTGGTCCCATGATATGCCTCTGAAACAGGAGGGGTGGGATGTGGTAGTGGGATCCACTTTGTTCTCGTGCTCCTGACCCAGTGAGGCTCTCTCCTGCAGTCCAACACCGGCAGCAAGTCACAAGAAGTTTGTCTTCAGACCATGAAACTGCCTCAAGCTGTAAAGCTTCCTGCCTAGGTCAAAATTGTGGCTATCAGACTAAAACCCTCCCAGTTCAGTACCACAAAGGGAGGGTATTGTATTAGTCTGTTCTCACATTGCTGTAAAGAAATACCTGAGACTTGTAATTTATAAAGAAAAAAGGTTTAATTGGCTCATGGTTCTGCAGGCTATACAGGAAGCATGATGCTGGCATCTGCCCAGCTTCCAGGAGCCCTCAGAAAGCTTACAATTATGGCAGAAGGCAAAACAGAAGTAGGCGTGTCTGGAGCAAGAGAGATCCAGTGGGGAGGTGCTACACACTTTTAAACAACCAGATCTCATGAGAACTCACTCACTATCACAAGAATAGGACCAAAGGGATGGTGCTAAACTATTCATGAGAAACACCTCCATGATCCAATCACCTCCCACCAGGCCCCACCTCCAACATTAGAGATTACAATTCAACATGAGATTTGGGCGGGGACACAGATCCAATCCATATCAGGCATCTAACTCCCACACCTGTGGCTGGAGCCCATGCCACTCACCTCTCCTACTCAAAACTAGATTGCAAATTCCCATCCAGAGACTCTCCAAATCAGTGACTGCAACCCATGCTTGTTGGCAGGTTCTTATACAACCCACTATGAGTTAGCATCAAAAATGGCTTTCTCCTATCAGCACCCATGTTTGGGAGTGTGTGTGGGGTACTTCCCAGTGCCGTTCCTTCTCATGGTCTCCTGACTGCTCCCTGAGTCAGATCAGGGCTTGGTAAAGTCAAGAAGCTCCTCCATGGCCTGGATTGCCTGGCTGTCCAGTGGGAATGTGTATCACAGAGACAGTTTCTCCCCGTCTCACACACTGAGGATTCACTCACAGTTTCCCACCAGATCCACCCCGCAGGCTGCTGCTTGCCTTATTTTTCAGAGTATCCAAAGTTTCTTTCACTTTTATGTTGAACTCCCGTGTTCTTTCTTGGATAAAATTTCACAGTATGAATCTCTACACATTATTTTGCCTTTTCCAAATGCATGAGGCAAGCTGGCAAAGCCACTATTCTGCTATGTTGGGGAGAAAAACAGAAATGGTTGTCTTAATAGATACATGCTTTAAAATTAATCTAAGCTAGATGTAGTTTTCAATGAACTAATGTATATTGAGTGTCTATTATATATGGAATCCAGAGAAGACTGTTTCTTTGTATTTTTTTTTGTTTTATAGTACTATGATTCATTTGAAACCTATTATCAGCCTTATGACCATACCAAGTTGTGCCAGTCATTTAAAATTTTTAGTTTTTCATTATTCAACATACATTGATATACAGCCTTACATGCATGTCTATGAGAAAGTGGTAGGAGAAAGCTCTCAGCTGATTTTTGTGCAACTGAATGACCATTAATGCTTGGCAATCTTCCCAACTGAATCTGACTCAAGTAGAAATAGTTAACATTAATCAAAAGAGATTAATTACCTGCCACCAGTCTTTTGAAACAGTCTGTCCTGAGAAAAAGAGAATTCGATGATATGTAAATCCATGTTCTTTGGGAATGCTTATTTCTCCTTTTCTTGGGATACAGAAGAAGAGACAGACTCAGATACAAACCTCAATACCTGAAATCATTAGCTTTGGTCTTGGTGGGATCAAAACCAAAAAATAAAAGCTATTAATATGTGATTGAATACACAAACACACGTGCGTGCACACACACACACACACATTTATTATAAGGAATTGGCATATGTGATTATGGCAACTGGGAAGTCCAAGAATCTGCAATGTGGTCTGGCAGGCTCAAGACCCAAGAGAGCTGATGGTGCAGTTCCAGTCTCACAGAAGTCTGCTGGAGAATTTCCTCTGGCTTGGAGAAGGTGGTCTTTTCATTCTACTCAGGTCTTCTATTGATTGGATAAAGTGCACATACATCATGGAGGGCAATCTTCTTTACTCAGAGGACATCAGTGTCAATGTTATTCCCATCCAGAAACACCTTCCAAGTTGACACATAAAATTAACAATACACTTTTCCTCATCTCACCCAAATTTAGGTTAAGAGTTCTGGATACCTGAATTAATATTGCCATTGGAATGCCACTTTTACTTTTGGAGAAAAATTAGAAATAACATTTTATAAAATTAAAAAACTGTAGGCTAGGCACACTGGTTTACACCTATAATCCCAGCACTTTTGGAGGCCAAGGCAGGAGGATCCCTTGAGCCCAGGAGTTCAAGTCTAGCCTGGGCAACATAAGGAGATCCTGTCTCTACAAAAAAAAAAAAACAAAAAAACTGTAGCTAGGCATGGTGGCATGTGCTTGTAGTCTCAGATACTCAGAAGGCTGAGGTAGGAGGATCCCTTGAGCCCAGGAGTTCAAGGCTGCAGTGAGCTGTGATTATACCATGGCACTCCAGCATGGGTGACAGAGCAAGACTTTATCTCAAAAAGAAAAAAAAATACTGTGTTTCTGGTTTGCAATTATACTGAGTATTCCAGATATGAAGTGACCAGCTCATAGCACTTGCAACAAGATTATTCTCTTCTGTAGTCTGGTTGCTATATTTCTAATAATGTGACTCAAGATTTCATTCATTTTACCTCTGGACTTATCACTCTTTGAACTTTACGGTTTATCACTAGGTCTTTTTCTCTAAATGAGCTATTGTTAGGCCAGTTTTCTTCTTCCTCTTGCAATCCTGTTTTTCAGTGGTTGATGGCATTTAACCTAACGTGGATTTTCACATAACAATTGCTATTTTAAAATGTTATTAGTTACTTAACCCATATGATTTATCTTAGAACCACAGAACCTCAGAGCTAAAATGAACATTTTATAATAACAAACCGGGTCCAAAATAAATGACTTACATAGATTTATAAGGTAATTAATGACAGAGCTGAGTCAAGGATTCATGTTTCTTGATGCCTAGTTTAGTAGTCTTTGATGCAACAGACATCAAGTACATATTATATCTAGAAGTAATGTATTAAAGATAATCTTTTGGCTTAAATCATTTTAGAATGTGTAACATCCTTGTAATACAAGTCATTACCCATTTCAACTAGAGAAGAAGATATATAGAAATATCAAATGTTAACAAGGTAATAGGCCATTGCTTTTGTGTAATTCAAAATTTGATAATGATTTTGTTCTTTGCCCTAGTTATTGATAAAATTCTTAAAGTGAACATTGCCCTACTGCCTATTTCTAGGTGCTGTTCCCTTTAATAAGTATATTTTGAACATCATTTGTTTAACCCTGTTTTAACCAATTAGAAATCTATCTACTTGAATTATGTTCATTCTCTTCCCTATGTATTCTTTTTGAGTAACAAAATGAGATTATTTTAATATGACTAGAAAGGAAATATATCTTAATATGAGGGTGTACAAACTTTTGTTGTCTTAAATAAAGATTGACATGTCAAATCTGTAAAGAATAAAAGTAGACCTCATTTTTAGGTTTATTATTTTTTAAATACCACAAATGACAGTAAAGTTGCCTTCATTTAAATTGGTACCTTCAGTTACCCACCACCCCCAACCACTTCAATAGTTAAATGCATCTTACTTAAACATATTGGAAAATTTGGAGTAGAATCTTAATTAATGTTAATTTCATGTCTTTGATGATATACAATGTCCCTGCAAGATTAAAACATGATAATGGGAGTAACAAAAAATCACTGTTATTTAGTTTTTTAAATTTTGCATTTAGTGACTTTGAACAGTACAAATCAACTTAAAATGTATGCTTTGCTACTGACTATAACACTGACAATTGTATCATCAAGAGCAAATACTCAGCTTTGAGACCTTGGATCTAAAAAGCTAAAACTCTGCATTTCTGTTAAACATGTATTGATCTGGCAGTTGACAGCAGGTTGTCAAAGTGCCTTATGGTGGAAGTTGTAATAGATGATATCTACGTCCTCCTCTAATGAGTGAGTCTACCAAAGACCATGGAGAGGAAAATGTGCCTCTTATTGCCTGACTCCTGATGAATAAGACTTCAGTGAAGTGCAGAAAACAGGCCTCTGCTAGGTCTATCCATGACAGGCAAGTTACCCAAATGAAAACCTTGGGCTCTGTCTCAGCTGTCACCCTAACTTTCAAGTGACAGCAGCTAGCCTTTCAAAGTTCTAAGCACCTTTGAAGAGTTTCTGATAACACATTTAAAAGTATTATCACAGATGAAAGAGAATTCATTATGTCAGACCTACCTCAAAAGTTTTAAGTTTGTTCTTAAGTCCTTTCAGAGAAATTAACAATCCAGGAATAAATCTTTTAATTTACCCTACCTATTGTGGTTACTAGTACAAGGCACCTTTCTGATAATGAAACAGAAATCCTTTCATTCCTGGAATTTCCTGTTGGGAGTGTAGAGTTTTCTGAGCAATATGTAACGTTGGTTAGTTACGCAATATGTTGGATTTTACTGCCAGCTTTGTTTAAAAAGGGTGTGAGAGGCTTTGACCAACAGGAATGTGAAGTCAAAGTTAAGTATGGCATCATCTTACCACCTGTCACATGAATAAACCCGGATTCATAAGCAAATATGTTATACATTTAAGTGTTTTTATTAACTCAGATAAGCTAACTATAAAATAGTTTTATCTTTACCTGTATATAATTTGGAGAAACTATCTTTTTCCCTCCAGGAAAATGTTAGTGGAGAAAAATTGGTCCCCAAAGTTGCATACAAAAGTTATTAAACATGTGAGGGAGGTTGTCTTCAGTGATTGCAGGGGAGATGGATGGATCTGGAGATATGCTCATAATATATTTAAATCCCAGTACATGGGTGAGAGTCAAGTCTTCAGCACTATGGCAAACCTGCTAAGATTCAGGCCCCTGCTCTCTCCTCTGTCTCTAGCTACTTGGATAGGTGCTTAGTTCTCCCACATAACATTTCAAGATCTGTTTAGAATAACCCCTCCCAATCTTATGCAGAAAAGCATCCATATGCTGTTTTTAAGGATATAGAGACTATGTTGTAGTCTCCTTCAATAATACATTACCTATTTTTAATAACTTTAAGCCTCAGAAATTTCTTAGGTTAATATCTAATCTAATTTTCTCTGTAAGGCAGTTCTCAACCTTAGCACTATTGACATTCTGGGCTGGATAATCCTTTGCTGGTGGGGAGCAGGGGGGACTTGCCTGTGCATTATGAGATAGATGTTTGGCAGCATGCCTGGGCTCTACTCACTAGATGCCAGTAGCACCCTGCTCCCGGTTATGATTGCCAAAAATGTCTCCAAACATTGTCACATGTTCCATAGGGGTCAAAATTGCCCCTGTTTGAGAACCACTGCTCTAAGACAGCATAGAATGTTAGATAACTGTCCAGTTTTTATTTTCTCTTTTCCACTTGGCTGTGATTTACTTGAGATCTCACTTAAGAGGTGAGACTGGAACCTGGGTTTCCTAACTTCACTGTTAGTTTTTTTCCTAACACACCATGCTTTCTTGGTTTAAGATGCTCTGATACCCTACTTATGGGCTTGTCCAGCTATGAGTTCTGTTACAGTATAGCTAACCATTTAGTAACCTACTCCACATTATGCACATAAAATCTGTAGTTCTCCTTAATATCCACTTGTACATATTGTTTTGGCTTGTTTCTCCCAGAAGCAATCCTGAAATGGGAATTTGTGTAAAAGCGGCTTATTAGGAGGTGTTCTCAGGAAAAATTGGTAGAGGAGTGGGGAAGTGGCCAGGGAAGAGAAGGAAACAAAACAATGGTACAATGTCAGGCAAACTTCCAAGCAAGTAATTTTAGCTCAGTCCCCCTGGAGAGCCCTGGAGACAGTGTAGATCATATCTCAGAACTGTTCCAATCAGGTACAAGAGAAAAAAACTACAGTGTGCATACTTCCCTGCCCATCAGTCATTGTTTGAGGTGGAGTTTCTTAGCCTTGATACTATTGACATTTTGGGGGTAATTCTTTGGTTTTTTTTGTTTTTGTTTTTGTTTTTGTTTTTGTTTTTTGTCTTGGGAGTCTGTCCTGCGCATTGTAGGCTGTCTGGCTACAATCTCTGGCTTCTATGTGTTAGATGCCAGTAGCCTCCCAGCCACCTTTCCCGGCCCGGTTATGACAACCAAAAGTATCTCTAGACACTTTGACTCCTGGAGCTCAAAGTCACGTCCTCATTCAGAACCACTGGTTTAAGTGTCCCTGGGGAGATGTAAATTTCCAGGAAATTTACTCAGGCAAAATGGTCTTTGGCAGCTTAAGAGCAGCCCTCTGACTGACACTGGCATTGGCTGTGGGGGTGAAAGCACACCAGGAGCCATGTGCGTGAAAAGGTTAATGAATTCCAGTAGCTATGGTTGGAGTGCTGATATCATGTGCTACCTGTATATTGACTTATTAAATTTCTCCTTTTCAGCCATGTGAGCATATTTGATATAAAGGCACAGTTTTCTTTGAAGGGCTTTTGGTGGACTGAGTCAACCCAGTGTGCCACATGTTATAGTCAGTGCCACTAGAGCAGTATCTGACTCATCCTACTGTTGCCATTATACACCATAAATACCTCTCCACTGAGGCTAATTTTAAGCTCTGTGGAATTAGTTTGATCAGAAACCTGAATCAAGAAAGAATTTCATAAGTTGGAACCATTCCTGCTAGACTAGACTTACTGATTTTTGTTTCACTCTAATGACAGAAAATCAATGTGTTTTGGCTGTGTTTTTCTAATCTTGAATCTATTTTTGTTGTACCTGCTGTGCCCAATTTACCATTCATTCATTCAAAAAGTGTTTACTGAGTGCCTAATATGTGCCCAGCGCTTTGCTTGGTAATAGGAATACAATAGGAGACAAAAGAGAGATGGTTGCTGTATTAATGGAACTTCCAGTCTAGTAAGGGAGAAAGACAAGAAATTAGTTACAGTTCAAGGAGCAGGATTGTCTGAAAATAGCCTTGAATTCTCACTCTAGGTTTCCTGGACTGTGAGAACGGGGGAGTTCTCTTCTATGTCATGGGAGGGGCTGTGCTCAAATCTTATGAGACTGGTGGCTTTGTCTTCCCAGCAGAGGTGATTTCAACTTTGCAGGAAAGCTGGCATTCTTAAACAACTCCAGTAAGCAGCCTGCTGGGCTGTCAAAGTCAGACTGCCTGGCACCAAGTGTATTCCTCCAATGTTAAGGCTGTATAAACAGGGAGAATAGCAGAGAGGCCATTGTCTCTCTAACTAGAAGCAAATCCCCATAGTATTGGTTCTTGTAGGAGGAGAATGAGATACCCATATCTTTTGTTCTCTCACTAACCGTGGCATTTTACTTGTAAGTTTTCTCTTTCCCCAATAAAGTATATCTTTAACCCATGCTATGTAATGTGGAGTTTGTCTTTAAACCTACATAAGTGCTACAAAGAAAAAAAGCAGATTTAAAGGATGTGCCAGGTACTTCGGATTATTCAAGTGATCAAAAAAGCTTGTTTGAGAAAGTGACATTTGAGCTGAGACCTGAGCTCTGAGAAAGCAAATCACGTGAAGATCTAGAACAAGAGCCTTCTAGGCAGAGGAAGAATATGGAAAATCCCTCAGGTAGAGAACTTGATATGTTTAAGGAATTGAAAGAAGACTAGTTTGGGTGGCGGAAGCATAGAGATAGAGGGAAGGGAGAATGAAAGCAGCGTGAGATGAAGCTGGAAAACTTCAAAATACAGTATGGAGCCAGATCATAATAAATGGCCTCGCTGGCCGTGATGAGGAGTTCTTATTTTATCCTAACTGCATTGGGAAGCCATTGAAGCAAATTTCAAAATACTCGCTCTGATTTAGGTCTTTAAAAGATAATTGTCATTCCCATATGGACAATGTTTAGAATGGGAGCAGAGAAATCAAGAAAGCAGTGTAGTAGTTTGATAGATGGTAATATGGTTTGGATGTTTGTCCCCTCCAAATCTCATGTTGAAATGTAATTCCCCTGTTGGAGGCAGGGTCTGGTGGGAGGTGTTTGGATCATTGGAGTGGATCCTGTATGAGTGGCTTAGCGCCATCCTCTTGGTGATTAGTGAGTTCTTGCTCTGGTAGTTCATGTGAGATCTGGTCGTTTAAAGGTATGGCACCTCCCACCTCTCTCTTGCCTCCTCTCACCATGTGACGTGTCTGCTTCTGTGTCACCTTCTGCCATGAGTAAAAGTGCCCTGAGACCTCATCAGAAACTGAGCAGATGCCAGCACCATGCTTGTACAGTCTGCAAAATGGCAAGGCAATTAAACCTCTTTTCTTTATAAGTTACTCAGCCTCAAGTATTTGTTTGTGGTGATGCAACAATGGACTAACACCGATGCTGATTGCTTTGGCTAGGGTGGTGGCATCATAAGTGGAAAGAAAGGAAGAGAGGTGATATAAATTTTGGAAGCACAGGATGGAGGGATGAGATAAAGGAAAGAATCAAGAATGACTCCCAAGTTTTTTTACTTTTGCTACTGGGTAGGTGATGAGATGAAGGAACTGTGGAGAAGGAGAAGGTTTATTGTGGTAGGAGGACAGGATGAAAACTTCCATTTTGATCATATTGAACTTTAAGTGTGAGACATCCAAAGATTCAAGAGGGCAACTGGATATATAGGATTTAGTTCAGAGACCAGATTTGTGCTGGAAATATAAATTTTGGAGCCATTTGTATACACATGATAATCAAAGCCAAGAGCCTGGACAGACTTGCTTAGGGAATGAGTCTAGATAGAGAGGAATACCAAGGTCTCAGCCCCGGGGTTCTCTAAAACAAAGAGCTTAAAGATATGAGGAGAAACCAGAAAAGGACATTCAGATGATGGGCTATTTCCCATGCTTTTGGTCAATGTAACAAAAGTCAAAATTGAGGGTTGGGAAGAGAAAGGAATACTGCGAATTGTTCTTTCTATTCAAGCTTGGAACAATAAAGTTAAACACAAAAATTATGAACACATACTTGGGCAATAGAATTATATGGTAGTTCTTAGTTATATGGAATAATCCAAATGGTGCAGAAAATGTTTCTGTTTTTAAAGATTTTCATAGAAATGAAGGCACAAACTTTAAGAGTTCTAGGAAGCCTTCCCTATCCCAACAAGATCATTTTTATACTTTATGTACTCTCATTACACACATCCTTATCCTACCTTGAAATATTGAATCACGTGATGAGGAAAAGTCATTAGAAGTTCATGTGCTATTCTCTCTGCCCTCCACAACCACTCCCTCTAGTGCCACCCCTTAAGTACACAACTCTTCACCAGAAGGTCTCCTTCTCATCTTTTAGTCTAGGTGTCATCTCAAAGAGGCATTCCCTCAATCATGCATACCTCTCAATGCTCAAATGCATTCCCCCAGTAGCACATACCTCTTAACACCATTATTCTTGGTTATTGCACAATACTATTCATGATCTCTTATTTATTTACTCAAATTTTTACTTATTTTTGTCTTTTTCCCTCACTATACTATAAATTCTATGAATGCAAGGACACGTCGATATTTTATTCCAAGACCCTAATGAGGTATGCACACATTTAATAAATATTTTTGAATGAATGAAGATTATTTTTAAAATTTAAAATTAAGCAGTGACATAGAGTTCTTTTTTCCCCTTATACAAATGTTAATATCTTACCAATGTAATTATTAAATGATTTTTAAAAATTTAATTTAATTTAATTTTAAGTTCCGGGATACATGTGCAGGACGTGCAGATTTGTTACATAGGTAAATGTCTGCCATGGTTGTTTGCTGCACCTATCAGCCATCACCTAGGTATTAAGCCCAGCATGCATTAGCTATTTATCCTGATGCTCTCCCTTTCCCCAGCCCCCCAACCAGCCCCAGTGTATGTTGTCCCCCATTCAATGTCCATGTGTTCTCGTTGTTCAGCTCCCACTTATAAGTGAGAACATGCAGTGTTTGGTTTTCTGTTCCTGTGTTAGTTTGCTGAGGATAATGGCTTCCAGCTCCATCCATGTCCCTGCAAAGGACATGATCTTTTCCTTTTTATAGCTGCACAGTATTTCATGGTGTATATGTACCATATTTTTAAAATCCAGTCTATCATTGATGTGCATTTGGGTTAATTCCAAGTCTTTGCTATTGCAAATAGTGCTGCAGGGAACATATGCATGCGTGTATCTTTATAATTGAATGATTTATATTCCTTTGGGTGTATGCCCAGTAATGGGATTACTGGGTCAAATGGTATTGCTAGTTCTAGATCCTTGAGGAATCACTACACTGTCCTCCACAGTGGTTGAACTAATTTACATCCCCACCAACAGTGTAAAAGTGCTCCTATTTCTCCACGGTCTTGCCAGCATCTGTTGTTTCTTGACTTTTTAATGATCACCATTCTGACTGGCCTGAGATGGTATCTCATTGTGGGTTTGATTTGCATTTCTCTAATGGTCAGTGACGTTGAGCTTTTTTTCATGTTTGTTGACTGCATAAATGTCTTCTTTTGAAAAGTGGCTGTTCATATCCTTTGCCCACTTTTTGATGGAGTTTTTTCCTTGTAAATTCATTTAAGTTTCTTGTAAATTTTGGATATTAGACCTTTGTCAGATGGGTATATTGCAAACATTTTCTCCCATTTCATAGGTTGCCTGTTTGCTGTGATGCTAGTTCTTTTGCTGTGCAGAAGCTCTTTAGTTTAATTAGACCCCATTTGTCAATTTTAGCTTTTGTTGCAATTGCTTTTGGTGATTTAATTATAAAATCTTTGCCCTTGTCTATGTCCTGAATGGTATTGCCTAGGTTTTCTTCTAGGGTTTTTATGGTTTTGGGTTTTACAGTTAAGTCTTTAATCCATCTTGAGTTAATTTTTCTAGTTTATTTGCATAGAGGTGTTTATAGTATTCTCTGATGGTAGTTTGTATGTCTGTGGGATCAGTGGTGATATCCCCTTTATCATTTTTTATTGCATCTATTTGATTCTTCTGTCTTTTCTTCTTTATTAGTCTCGCTAGCGGTCTATCAATTTTGTTGATCTTTTCAAAAAACCAGCTCCTGGATTCATTGATTTTTTGAAAGGTTTTTTGTGTCTCCATTTCCTTCAGTTCTGCTCTGATCTTAGTTATTCCTTGCCTTCTGCTAGCTTTTGAATGAGTTAATTTTTGTATAACGTGTGAGGAAGGGGTCCAGTTTCAGCTATTTTAAAAAGAAGGAAATCCTATCATTTGTGACAATATGGATGAACCAGGAGGACATTACAGTAAGTGAAATAAGCCAGGCACAGAAAACAAATACTGCGTAATCTCACTTACATGTGGAATCTAAATTAGTAGAACTTACAGAGGCAGAGAATGGTGGTTACCACAGGCTGAGGCTTAGGGGATTGGCAATTTGTTAGTCAAAGGACACAAAGTTTCAGTTAGACAGACAGTAGGAATAAGTTCAAGAGATCTGTGGTACATCTGTGGTACATAATAACAATATGGAATTGTTTATACTTGAAAATTGCTAAGAGAGTAGATTTTAAGTGTTCTCACCACAAAAACATAAGTATGTGAGGTAATACCTATCTTAGTTAGCTTGATTTAGTCATTCCACAATGTATATGTATACCAAAACAATCATGTCATGAACTATAGATATATACAATTTTGTCAATTTAAAAAATAAAAAATTTAAAAACTAAAATACAGATTTAGATAATAAAAAAGGAAATCATACCAATATTTGCAGAACCCAGGAATCAATTGAAAGGCCAACTAGTAGAATTATTCAGTAAGGTCACTGAGACAGGCTAAGGGCAGGAGAATCACTTGAGAATCACTTGAACCCAGTAGGCGGAGATACTACTAAAAAGATAAAAATAAAGGAATAGACAGCATGAAACATTTGAATGTCTCAAAACTAAACAAACAGAATCTATATGAAGAAACTTATAAAACACCATGGAGAAAACAAAAAAGAAAACTTAAAGAAATGTAAAGGCATTGCCACATTTGAATAGAAAAATGCAACATCATCGTGATATGAATTCTCCTTAAGTTAACCTAACTGACCCCAACAGGCTACTTTTATTTTTGTTTTTGTTTGGAACTGGACAAGCTGATGCAAAAAAAAAAAAAAAAAACACACACACAAAAAAAACAAAAAAACCCACCTTGTTCTACAATAATGAAGATGAGATACTGGCACATGAGTGGATTAACAATTCACAGAAATAGACTAGAAAACTCAGAAATAGATCCAAATATATGCTGCAATTAAATGAACGTTTTATTTTAAGGCAGTGAAGAAAAAATGGGTTATTCAGTAAATTATGTTGGGACAACTGAGTAGACATCTGAAAAAAAAAAAGTTGGATCTCTGCTTCATAGATTATACCAAAATGACTTCCAGATGAATCAAAGATACAACATGAAGAAAATAAAACAATAAATTACCAGAAGATAAAAAAGAAAATCCATTTATTTAACTACAAGAAAAAATATCACATCACTATTTTAAAAATCAAAAGACAAAGGACAGATGGAGGATTTTTTTTGTAATTCAACTTACAGAAAAGGGGCTAATTTTCTTAACATATAAAAACATTTACAAATCAATAAGAAAAAGATCAACAACCTACAAAAAATGGGCAAAACCTATGAGCAAACAGTTCAGAAGAAAGGAAGTAGATAATATAAGAAATGCAAAGTTAATGATGATATAATGTTTTCAAGATCTCATAGCACTTGGTGAGGGTATGGGGAAACACACTCTTGCATACTGACTCCACGGCAGCAGTGTAGAACAATTTGATATTATCAACATTTTAAAAGCATATTTCTTTTAACCCAGCAATTTTATTCTTAGAAATCTATTTTATAGCTATATTATACATATGAAATGATAGGAGAATACTTTTTGTAATAGCAAAAGATTATCAATAGATGGCTGGTTGTATAAATTATAGAACATCCACACAATGGAATAACAGGCAGCTGATAAAAAGAATGGGGCAGCTATAAGAAAAATCTCCAACATGTATTGTTAGACTCAAAATAAAGAAAATAATAGGGTGTATAGTAAGCTACAATTTAAGTAAAGCAAAGTGAAAGTCTATATATGTGTGTACACCCACACACACATACACACACGCGCTCATACACAATGTGAGGTAAGTGGCAGTATTATCCCCCAGATAAGGAAACTTGGGATTAAAGAGGCTAAGTAACCTTTTCAATGTAACACCATTAATAAAGACCACAGGAATAAGAATCCAAGAAATCTAACTGCAGAATCCCTACTCTTTACTAATCTATTTTGTCCAGTGGGGAGGAAAGAGTGTATCTTTTTAAAGCTGTTTTCTTTTATTTGGAGATATACACATAGGAACAAACAAAGTAGGACAGAAAAACTAATGGTGAAAGCAACAGTTTCGAGCTCCAATCAGCTCTTGCCTTAGTCTCACTTTGCAGAGGTATCCTCTTTTACCCGTTTCTATGTCCTAATGATTATAAAATATGCTAATTTCTCTATTTCTTGACTTGCCAACACATGCTTTGTTATTAAATTTAGTTTAAATGTTAAAAATCAGTAAATGGTGTTTACATTATTATGGCTGTTCCAGAATTCAACTAGAGAAGCAGAACCAGTAGGAGATCATATATATATATACATATATATATATACACACACATATATATATACACACATATATATATACATATATACACATATATATGTATGCACACACACACACATACACACACACATATATATACACATACATATATATATATACACATACACACACATACATATATATGTTTCTGCTTCTCCGGTTGAACTCTGACACAGTCATAATCATGTAAATGCTATTTATTACATATAGTATTATGTTATATAAATGTACAAAGTATATAATATCAATATATAAAAATATACATACATATTTACATATATGTACATACATTCCAGTTTATTTGTTTATTATAAGGAATTAGCTTATACAATTGTGAGGACTAACTAAGCAAGCCTGAAGTCTGTAGGGCAGGCAGTCAGAAAGGAAAGATCACACGTGGGCTGCAACCCTTGAGCACAGGCTGAAGCTTGATGTCTCTGAACTGAGGGAAAGCCTAGGCCCTCTTTTAAAAGCCTTCCAGTTGACTAAGCTAGGCTCATATGCAATCTGATCCTTTGCTTTTTTTTAATTAATTTAAAGCCAACTGATGAGGGTGATTGCACCTGCTAAATCCCTTCACAGCAGACCTAGATTAGTGTTTGAATAATAACTGGGAGAAGGTAAGTGATTTATACAAAATAGCTGCTCCCTCCCTTTTTGTCCTCCAATTTGCAAGAAAATATCCCTTGTAGTTCAGCCTAACTATGAACATATTAGGAAGGAAATTCTGGGGAATGTAGTTCAGCCTAGCCAAGCTGGCACATCACAAAGCCATCACAGTGCACCCTTTGTCAACTTGGCACCCATATACATCTGCTTATATCATACTTAATGTCCAAATAAAGACAATAGCAAAGTCATAATTCTGCCTAACATGATACAACTTTCTATGCACAACTGTAACAGGCTAACTCTTTCCAAAGAAGAGGATACAAAATCCCTGGGTGATGTTGAGTCTTCTTTGATATTTTGTAACATAAATACTGAGATATGAAATTAGTCATTATTATCACATGCTAGATCATAAGGGAACAAGAGAGGGAAAACCACAAAAATATTTGGTTACTATATACACAAACATAATCATGCAAATAAGGAGGAAATACTCATAACTATTACCATCCTCTGCAACTGGCCATGTGGTCATTGCTGATATTTATAACTACCTTCTTCTACTATCCATGCCATGTTTCCTTTGTCCTCAGCAAGCGCCTCAGCTGGTTGTAGGCTTTTTGTGTAATGGTATGGCCTATACCTTCATTCTTGAAGCATCTGGGTTATTAGCAGTCCTGCCTGAATTGAGTTGTTGTAGTTTTCCATTGACTTTAATCACAAGACTAAACAATTCCCTGGGGGATTCTCCTGTATTCCATATATACTCCTGTCTACCCCATTGTGTAGTACCAACCCAGTTACCCGCTGGTAGTCAGAGTCAATCACTCGGCCGGGCGCGGTGGCTCATGCCTGTAATCCCAGCACTTTGGGAGGCCGAGGCGGGTGGATCATGAGGTCAGGAGATTGAAACCACCCTGGCCAACATGGTGAAACCTCGTCTCCACTAAAAAA
Organism: Homo sapiens; assembly: GCF_000001405.40. Taxonomy (NCBI): domain Eukaryota; kingdom Metazoa; phylum Chordata; class Mammalia; order Primates; family Hominidae; genus Homo; species Homo sapiens. The sequence goes on along the minus strand of NT_187598.1, from coordinate 212,820 downwards.
TACAAAAATTAGCCAGGTGTGGTGGTGGGCACCTGTAGTCCCAGCCACTTGGGAGGCTGAGGCAGGAGAATGGGGTGAACCTGGGAGGTGGAGCTTGCAGTGAGCCGAGATTGCGCCACTGCACTCTAGCCTGGGCGACAGAGCGAGACTTTGTCTCAAAAAAAAATAATCCATCAGTCTAGCCAGTACAGTAACCTCTTTCTTTGTTTGTAGATTCAAAGATGTATGAGAGGCCAAAGTGGCCAGTTAGCAGTCTCAACTTGGAGTTCCAAAAAAGTGTTATAATCTATACTAGTTCTCTATTACTGCATAATAAGTTATCACACACAGTGATTTAAAACAGTGCAGATTTTTTATCTCACAGTTTCATAGGTCCAGACACAAGTTTAGCTGGTTCTCTGTTCAGAGTCTTACAGGGCTGCAGTCAAGGTGTTGGCTGGACTGATTTTTCAAGTGAAGGCTCAACTAGGGAAGAATTTGTTTATAAGCTCAGATTGTTAACAGATTTTACTTCCTTGAGTCCTTGATTTTTCTAACTGGAGGCCACCCTTAGCTCCTAGAAGCTGCCTGCAATTCCCTGCCCTCTTCACAGGCAGCTCACAACATGGCTGTTTCCATCTTCAAAACCAGCAGGAGGCTCCCTGCAGTCTGATAAGACTTCTTAAGTAATGAAACATAATTACAGGAGTGACATCCCACACCTCTGTCATGTAATATAACCTAATTAAATGAGTGACGTCTCATAATCTTTACCATATCCTATTGGTTAGAAGCAAGTCACAGGTCCCACGCACACTCAAGGGGTGGGGATTATACAAGGACATGAATCATTGTGGGTCACCTTGGGTTATGTTTGCCACAATGACTGTGTAAATACTGTTTATTTCCTCCTCTAGAGGAGGAAATATAATCCTGGCACACTATCTGGCCTGGATTTGATCTTCTTCCTTCCTGGGGGTCCAGTGGAGGAACAGTGGAGGTCCTAGAGGTCCAATGGAGGAAACATATTTCCTCCTTCTTAGAGGTCCAATGTCATGACCTCTAGGCCATCAAAAAGAGAATGTTCCCAGCATCAAAATCAAATGGATCTCTTTTTAATTATCCTCTGTCTTAGTCTGCTGCTTTAACAAAATACATGAGACTGAGTAATCTATACAAAGCAGAAATTTATTTCCCATAGTTCTGGAGACTGGGTAGTTGTAGGTCAAGTCTCCCACTGATTTGAGGGCTGCTCTCTGCTTCCAAGATGGCCCTGTGTTGTTGCATCCTCCAGAGGGGAAGAGTGCCGTGCCCTCCCATGCAGAAGGCAGAAGGGCAAGGAGCAGAACGCTGCAAGAAGCCTCTTTTATAAGGGTCTTAATCCCATTTTGAGGCAAAGCCCTCATGGGCTAATGACCTCATAAAGGCACTACCTCTTAACATTATCACAATGGCCGTTAAGTTTCAACACCTGAATTTTGGAGGGGACACACTCAAACCATAGCCCTCTCCATCAATTGTTTAAATTCATGACACATTTAGAATTTCTGTTTCTTGGCTTTGAACACAGGTATTCTCACTCCTGAACTACACACTAAAGGAATTTTTGAAGTGGCGTAAACACATAAGGACAGAGAGAACTGGAGACTTGACAGTAGGAACAAAATTTAGACAGCTAGAAAGCAAATGGCTAAGTGATAACTAAATTAGCAGATGTAGGAAAGCCAGAATCCTAAACTGGCTTTTGGAAAAGACTAAAAGCAATGTGATTTGTATTCTAGAACCCCCCAAAGGGCTCAGGACTTCACAGCACTAAGTAGATTTTGAAGTGGAAATGAAAGTGGGGTCAAAAGTAGGATTGTTTGAATACTCATGTAAGAAGTATTTAGATTATCTCCCCAGTACTCTACAGTCTACCAGCTGCACTTCCCCCTTTCAGGGAGAAGTTGGAAGTTTCTTCTTGGGAGAGGGTAAAACAGAGGGTCTGTGGCCTGGTAGATATCAAGAACATTTGAGAATGTGGGTGCCTATTGAAAACAGGAGAACAAGATGAAATACTGCATATTGACATCTCAGAATACTAGCAGCCAAGACTGTACTCTTTGGGAAGGAGATGGAAGACCCAGGGAATTTGAGAAGCCAAAGAGAAAAGACCTACTTGAGATTTTTCCCCAGTAAAACAACTCCAGAATGTGCTACAGTGAAACTCACAGTAGATAGGCCTCTCTTTGATCCAGCGCCTCAGATAAGCTTCTTAGAACTTGCTTTTAAATCTGAATAGAAAACCAAGGATTATGATACATGTTTAAGAAGCCTCAAAATTGAAAGATTGAAACCAGAAAAAATAAAAAGGAAAAATGACTTACAGAATCAAACTTTGCAAGGAGAGTAAAACAAAAACCAAAACCCTGCCATTAAGTCTCAGAAAAGAATGTTACTACATACATGAAATAAAAATAGAATCTATAAAAAGGCACATTCTGAAAATAAAAGACTTATTGGAAAATAAGGACAAAGGAATATTGTACCCTTATACCCTTTTATTAACATCTCTCCTTTCTCTGTCCATGCTGCCACCACCCCCTACAAGCCTCTGGTAACTATCAATCTATGGTGTACTTATATGAGTTTGACTTTTTTAGATCCCACATATAAATGAGATCATGAGGTATTTGTCTTTCTGTGCCTGACTTATTTCACTTAGCATACTGTCCTTTGGATTCATCAATGTTGTTGCAAATGACAGAATTTCCTTCTTTTTTTTTTTCTTTGAGACAAAGTCTTGCTCTGTCTCCAGGCTGGAGTGCAGTGGTGTGATCGTAGCTCACTGCAACCTCTGCTAATTCCCGGCTAATTTTTATATTTTAGTAGAGACAGGGTTTCACCATGTTAGCCAGGCTGGTCTTGAACACCTAACCTCTAGTGATATGCCTGCCTCGGCCTCCCAAAGTCCTCAGATTACAGGCATGAGCCACCACGCCCTGCCAGAATTTTCTTCTTTTTAAAGCTAAACAGTATATACACCACATTTTCTTTATCCATTCATCCATTGATGAACACTTAGGTTGTTTCCATATCTTGGTTATTATGAACGGTGCTGCAGTGAACATGGGCATGCAGATATCGCTTCTACATACTGATTTCATTTTGTTTGGATATATATATGTGTGTGTGTGTATATATATATATATATATATATACACATACATATACCCAAAAGTGGAATTGTTGGATTATATGGTAATTATATTTTTAGTTTTTAAAGGAACCTTAATACCATTTACCAAAATGTATGCATACTAATACAAAATGTACGTATCTGTACTAATTTACATTCCCACCAACAATAGCCATTCTAATAGGTATGAAGTGATATTTCATTGCAGTTTTAATTCGCATTTCTCTGATGATTAGTGATATTGGGCATTTTAAAATATACCTGTTGGCCATTTTGTATGTCTTCTTTTGAAAAAATGTCTATTCAGGCCCTTTCCCCTTTAAAAAGAAATTTCTTCTTAACACGGAATATCGCTATATTGCCCAGGTTGAACTCAAACTCTGGGGCTCATGCAATCCTGCCTCATTCTCCTGAGTAACTGGGATGACAGGTTTGCACCACTGTACCCAGGACCATTTTTAAATCAGGTTATTTGTTTTCTTGTCATTGAGTTGTTTGAATGCCTTATATATTTTGGATATTAACCCCTTATCAGATGTATGGTTTGCAAATATCATTTTCGTATCTGAAGTTTGTCTCTTCACTCTGTTAATTGTTTTTTTGCTGTGCAGAAGATTTTTGTTGTAATCCCATTTGTCTACTTTTCCTTTTTTCCTGTGCTTGTGGGGTCATATCCAAGAAATCATTGCCCAGATAAATGTAGTGTTTTCCCCCATGTTTTCTTTTAGTAGTTTTACAGTTTCAGGTCTTATGTTTAATTCTTTAATCATTTTGAGATGATTTTTATATATGGGATGAGAGAAGGGTCTAATTCTATTCTTCTGCATGTGGATAGTCAGTTTCTCAAATCATATTTATTGAAGAAACTGTTCTTTCCCCATTGCGTGTTTTTGGCATCTTTGTTGAAAATAAATTGACCATGAATGTGTAAGTTTATTTCTGGGATCTCTATCCTATTCCATTGGTCAATGTGTCTGTTTTTATGCTGTACCATGCTGTTTTGATTACTGTTAAATATATTTTGAAATCAGGTAATGTGATACCTCTAGCTTTGTTCTTTTTGTTCAAGATTGCTTTGGCTATTGGGGATCTTTTGTGGTTCCATAGAAATTTTAGGATTTTTTTTCTATTTATGTAAAAATGTGATTGGAATTTTGACATTGATTGTACCGAATCTGTAGATCACTTTTGGTAGTATGGACATTTTAACAATATGAATTCTTTCAATCCATGAACATGGGATCTCTTCACATTCATTTGTGTCTTCTTGAACTTCTTTCATCAATGTTTTATACTTTTCAGTGTGCAGATCTTTCACCTCATTGGTTCAATTACTCCTAAGTATTTTTATGCTATTATAAATGGGATTTTCTTAATTTTTTGATACTTCTTTGTTAGTGTATGATGCTACTGATTTTTGTTATTAATTTTTTATCCTACAACTTTATTTAATTTGTTCATTAGTTCTAACAGTTTTTTTATGGAATTTTTAAGGTTTTCAAATATAAGATTATGTCATCTGCAAACAGAGACATTTTAACTTCTTCCTTTCCAGTTTGGATGCCTTCTGTTTCTTTCTCTTGCCTGATTGCTCTAGCTAGGACTTTTAGTGCTATGTTGAATAAAACTGATGAGAGTGGACATCCTTGTTTTCTTCCTGATCTTAGAGGAAAAACTTTCAACTTTTCACCATTTTGTATGATGTTAGCTGTGGGTGTGGCTCGTATTACCTTTACTGTATTCAGAAACATTTCTACCAACAGTGTAAAGGTGTTCCTGTTTCTCCACATCCTCTCCAGCACCTGTTGTTTCCTGACTTTTTAATGATCACCATTCAACTGGTGTGAGATGGTATCTCATTGTGGTTTTGATTTGCATTTCTCTGATGGCCAATGATGATGAACATTTTTTCATGTGTCTTTTGTCTGCATAAATGTCTTCTTTTGAGAAGTGTCTTTTCATATCCTTCGCCCACTTTTTGGTGGGATTTTGTTTTTTTTTTCTTGTAAATTTGTTGGAGTTCATTTTAGATTCTGGATATTAGCCCTTTGTCAGATGAGTAGATTGCAAAAATTTTCTCCCATTCTGTAGGTTGCCTGTTCACTCTGATGGTAGTTTCTTTTGCTGTGCAGAAGCTCTTTAGTTTAATTAGATCCCATTTGTCAATTTTGGCTTTTGTTGCCATTGCTTTTGGTGTTTTAGACATGAAGTCCTTGCCCATGCCTATGTCCTGAATGGTATTGCCTAGGTTTTCTTCTAGGGTTTTTATGGTTTCAGGTCTAACGTTTAAGTCTTTAATCCATCTTGAATTAATTTTTTTATAAGGTGTAAGGAAGGGATCCAGTTTCAGCTTCTACATATGGCTAGCCAGTTTTCCCAGCATCATTTATTAAATAGGGAATCGTTTCCCCATTTCTTGTTTTTGTCAGGTTTGTCAAAGATCAGATGGTTGTAGATATGCAGCATTATTTCTGAGGGCTCTGTTCTGTTCCATTGGTCTGTATCTCTGTTTTGGTACCAGTACCATGCAGAAACATTCCTTCTATACCTAATTTGTTGATGGTTATTTTTGATAATGAAGGAATGTTGAATTTTATAAAAATTATGTGTTTTTATATCTTCAAGTTTTTCTGTTTTTTTTCAGTCGTACTTTATACTGAATTTTTTTTTCTTTTTCTGTTTATTTTTTCAACAGGAGCTTTCTGTCATCCTGTTCCAGTCTAGATTGGTTACTCTCTAGTTTTGCTACCCTCTTGTCTTCCCAGAATTTAACTATCTTCTGGGTTGTCTCCAATTCTCTCTGGGTTCCATGTCTTTTGTTTTGCTGGAATTCCTCAGATAACTTCCCAAGAATAATTCATTGGATATAAATTTCTAAGTCCTAGTAGTATCAATTAGATAATGCAGTAAAAGTAGACTTTAAAAAGGAATTTATTTGAAAGATAATGGGGTGCTCACAGACTCAGAAATTATGGATGAACCCTGTTCAGAAAAGATAAAGGTTAGGCAGCTCCAGAGGGGGATATAGCAAAAAGTGCTTATTAATCTTGTTTGGAATCTGCCGCAAGAATCAGCTCTCACTATCATCAGTCTTTTGATCACCATGCTCAGGATTCCCGCTCCAGGAGAGGGGACCCTATTGTCTGGCTTGGATCATATGCTTGCTACTTGGCTATGGAAAGGCAGGGTACCTTGATTAACAGTCCCACGAGACTACAAAGGGAGGGCAAGTCCCCCAAAATAAAAAACTTACTGTCAAAGACTGGTGGAATGGATGCTGATCAGCCAAAATACAACATATGGTCATTATACTTTGCTTGGGTAAAATGTCTTTATTTCATTCTCATACTTTCTTTGATTGATTATAGAATTATAGACTGAAATCATTTATTTTTCCTTTAGGACTCTGAAAGCATTGCTCCCATTTTCTTCCTTCATTCAATATTGCGGATAAGGACTCATGTCAGTCTGATTCTGTTCCTTTAGTAGGAACTTCTCTCTAGAAGTTTTTGAGAACCTTTATCCTTGTTCTGAAATTTCATAAGGTGTGACCCGGTATGAACTTTTTCCATTCTTCATGTTGGCATTCTTTAAATATTTTCAGTCTGTATACTTGTGCTTTCTTTAGTTTGGGGAAGATGTTGGATTTTCTTTTCCTGTTGTCTGTACGTACTACTTTTTCCTCTGATACTTTTATCTTTTTCCTTATTTAATTGTGTTCTCTTGATGGTTGCCATTCTTCTCCTTCATGATCTTTATTACGTTTGTGGTCGAAACTATTTTCTTTTGGGCACCTTGATATTTAATCTTTATCTTATTTAATAAGATTATTTTGTCTTTTTCTTCCATTTCCTGAGTTTGGTCAACTCTCATTCCATATCTTCCTATTTGTTCTATGTTCTAGTCTGAGTTATTTTGAACTAATTATTCAAGGTGATTTAAAAAATATGAATATTATTATTTTAACGTACTTAATTCAGGTTGAAGTGTTGTGTCAGTTTTCTCTAGCTGGGTCTTGCTCTGTCACTCAGGCTGAAGTGCAGTGGTGTGATCATGACTCACTGCAGCTTCAAGCTCCTGGGCTCAAGCTATCTTCCTGCCTCAGCCTCCCAAGCATCCAGGACTATAGGCGTGTACCACCATGCCTGGCTAAGTTTTTTTTTTTTTTCAGACGGGGTCCCGCTCTATTGCCCAGGCTGAGGTGCAGTGGTGCGATCTAGGCTCACTGCAACCTCCATCTCCTAAGTTCAAGTGATTCTCCTGCCTCAGCCTCCTGAGTAGCTGGGACTACAGTTGTGCACCACCACGCCTGGCTAATTTTTTGTATTTTTAGTAGAGACGGAGTTTCACCATGTTAGCCAGGATGGTCTCGATCTCCTGACCTTGTGATCCACCCACCTCAGCCTCCCAAAGTGCTGGGATTGCAGGCGTGAGCCACCGCACCCGGCTAGCTAAGTTTTTCAACTGTTTTGTAGAGATGGACTCTCGCTATGTTGCCAGGACTGATCTTGAACTCCTGGGCTCAAGTGATCCTCCCACCTGGACCTCCCAAAGTGCTGAGATTTGCAGGCATGAACCACTGTGCCCAGCCTCATTTTCTACCCTCTAATAGCTTTGTATGATATTGCCTGTTATTTTGTGTTCATTTTGGAATGCCACTGTTTTCTCTTGTTTTGGAGAAGCCTGAAGGGGTAGAATTTGAGTGTGTACCTAGGCTTCTTAATTCAAAGGCATCCTTTTCTGTTGTTACAGTAAAGTTCAATTTTTATACATGGAAGTTTTGTGGGTGGAGTAGGTGTGTTTTCCCAGCGTCTGGTTCTCTTTTCTTTCTGTATGACCTTTAATTTTTATTGCTTGCTTGCTTTTTTCTTCACCATCAAACATCCAAAAATTTCTCCCCCTTCCAAAACATCTACCTCTCCTTTAGAACGATGGTTTCCTAAACTGCATGAAGATTTTCAAGGCAGTGTTCTAGTCCACCAGTTCTCAACCCCATTGTCAGTATATTTCCTCTTTTAGGCAGAACTCCGTTAGAGAAGATTTAATCCGGATTCCACCGCTGCTCCACTGCTGCTGTCCTCTGTTCTTTTCCACACAACCTCTACCTGACTTCACTTTGGTGTGGACTCTGGAGTTGATCCCTCTGGTTTCATATGCTTCTTTTCCTACTTATATGTAAGTTAAAGTTGTTAGTAATCTCCGCCTCCCAGTTGTGCTATGAGTTGTTTTATTAATTCTCCTCTTATTATAGGACTTTTAAAAGAATATGTGGAGAAATTAAGTTTTAGGTGGCCACCATCTATCTTACATAAGCCTGCCTACATAAGCCTGCCTGCCTGCCTTCCTTCCTTCCTTCCTTCCTTCCTTTCTTTTTCTTTCTTTCTTTCTTTTTGAGACAGATCTTGTTCTGTTGCCTAAACTGGAGTACAGTGACATGATCTTGGCTCACTGCAACCTCCGCCTACTGGGTTCAAGTGATTCTCCTGCCCTTAGCCTACTGAGTAGCTGGGACTACAGGCGTGTGCCACCACGTCCAGCTAATTTTTGTATTTTTAGTAGAGAAGAGTTTCACCATGTTGGCCAGGGTGGTCTTGAACTCCTGGCCTCAAGTTACCTGCCTGCCTTGGCCTCCCAAAGTGCTGGGATTACAAGTGTGAGCCACTGTACCTGGCCAGGTTTTCTATATTTATTAAAGAAAAAAAAAAAAAAAGACTGGCCAAATTCCCAAAACTATGGCTTCTGAATACGATTTTCCAGTAAAAGGAATCAGAATTATATAGAGAAATGACTGAGTCCATGTCTGGGGCAGGAAATGTAGAAGGTGAGCCTAGAGTATCTTGTCTTATAAGGAAGGAAGGAAACTGTCAAAAATGACTAGAGTCATGTCAAAAAGACAGAAGCGAACTTTGGAGGGACCATACCTGTTAAAATTAGACACCTTGAGCATCAATAAGGATAATAACCATAATGATAGAAATACATTAAATATATTTAAATGGAAACCTGTGAGTTCATAATGATAGCAAAAATGAACTTTATTGGTTGCCTCTATAAGGATGCTAGGGAATCAATTCATTATTTTCAAAATGGTAAACGAAGGAAAAGAATGAAGCATTTGTCTTCTCTTAGGAATTGTACCTCTGAGTAAACAAATAGTTGATGCATGAAAAGTTATCTTTATAAAAGTATTCCAGCTAATAAGCAAAGAAGAAATGATAATACATCACCACTCTGCAGCCTCTAATGAATTTAACAGATTTAGGCAATAAATGATAGATGCTACATCAGAAAAAGAGCTAACCACACCTTAGGTGCCTCCTGATGGAAGTACCCAACACCACCTATGAAGTGTTCTTGACAAAAAAATTAAACCTGCATCTGATCAAGCCTCTAAATCTACTTAACAATTTACCGAACAATATGATAAACTTATGATGTAAAAAGATACCATAATGATGCACTCAGCAAAATCCAAACCATGGGAAACACATTACAACTAACTTCTTCTTTAATGAATTTCAAGGAAAAAGCGAGAGAAAAAAAAATGATGGGGTGAAGGGAGAGGTGAAAGGAAAATTACTTGTAGATTTTGACACCTCAGAGATACATCAACCAGTGGCAAAGTTTGAACCTTATTGAATCCTGATTCATACAACTATAAAAAATTTTGTGAATGAGGTAACTGAGGAAATATAAACAGTCACTGGGTAGATATCTGGGACTTACTATTATTTTTAGGTTTTAAATTGTATTGTGGTTTTCTTTTCTTTAAAAAAAGTCATTTTCTCTTAGAAATACATACTGAAATATATACAGTTGTCTAGGATATCTTCAAAGTAATCCTGCAGGCTGGATGCGGTGGCTCATGCCTATAATCCCAGCACTTTGATAGGCCAAGGCAGATGGATCACTTGAGGCCAGGAGTTTGAGACCAGCCTGACCAACATGGAGAAACTCCATCTTTACTAAAAATTAGCTGGGCGTGGTGGCGCACACCTGTAATCCCAGTTACTTGGGAGGCTGAGGCAAGAGAATCTCTTGAATTCCGGAGGTGGATGGTTTCAGTGAGCCGGGATCAGACCACTGCATTCCAGCCTGGGTGACAGAGCGAGACTGTGCCTCAGAAAAAACAACAAACACCACCAAAAAACAACAAAATAATACTAGAGGAGGAAGTGAGTGAAAGAGAGTATAGATGAAACAAGACCGAAGGTAGGCAATTACACAAAATAGAATATATATGTTATAATATATATATTATTTACATATATATAATGTATAGTTCTCTCTACTTTTCCCCCAATGTTTGGCACATCCCATAATAAAAAGTTATTAAAAACTGAGGGTGATTTTAATCTTGGATGACTGAAACATCCTCGTTATCTTAGTCTTTGAACTTTTTGAGTCTTTAAAATTTCTCACATAAAAAGGATAAGAAGGCTGGGCACGGTGGCTCATGCCTATAATCTCAGCATTTTGGGAGGCCGAGGCAGGCAGATCACCTGAGGTCAGGAGTTCAAGACCAGCCTGGCCAACATGGTGAAACCCTGTCTCTACTGAAAATACAAAAATTATCTGGGCGTGGTGGCGCACGCCTGTAATCCCAGCTACTCAGAAGGCTGAGGCATGAGAATCACTTGCACCCGGGAGGCGGAGGTTGCAGTGAGCCAAGATTGCACCACTGCACTCCAGCCTGGATGACAGAGATGAGACTCCATCTCAAATAAATAAATTAATAAATAAAACAAAGACAAGAAAAATTTATAAATAAAATTGTTACATGACAAATTGAGTTAAATATTTACATTAAATATTGCAAGGGGTTATTTTACCATTTCACAAGCAAAACACTAAATTTCCCGTAGAAAATGTTTAACAACATGCCCAGATAATTTATAGAAGAAAAAAATGTCAAACAAGCATATTTATAAGTGTTCAGTTGAACCAATATTGAAAAAAGTAAAACAAGATTTTTTAATGTATCAAATTATTTCAGATTATATCTAATTTTCACTGCTGGGTTTCTGGAAAGCAATTTGTCAACATACATTCAAGAGTCTTAAACATGTTCATATCCTAAGGAAATATTTTTAAATGTAGGAAAATAATTTTGTTCAGGATTATTCATTACCACATTTCTCAAAAAGGAAAACACTGGAAATAGAAAAATATTTTATGTTTAAGTAAATTAGGTACCGTTATTTTTAGATCTACAACTGCGAAGACTTAAATAAAACACTTGAGTTACACGAGAAAATGGTCAGACTAACAATGACTGAAAGAAGGACATATAAATGCAGAAGAAACAGACTCGAGAAATGTCAAAATGTCCACAGTGGTTATATCTGGTTGTTGATTTATGCGTAATTGATTTCTCTATACTTGTTTTCATTTTTCACACATAATAAGCCCTGTTATAGCCAGCAAAAAATTACAAAAAAAGTCAAAGTCATCCTTCTTTCAATCAGCCCATTGCCTTGCCCCCTATCCTCCTGACTAGACGGAAGCCCAGTGCATAATTTGTTTTTCAGGCAGAAGAACCCCTTTCATTCCACTGTTACAGATGAATCACCTACTGTGGGAGTAGTCTTGGTACTCACATCAAAGTGTAATTCATCAGTGACTGTGATTGAAAACAGATCCTTTACTCTTTCGTAAGTTAGGAAACAAAATGTGGGGGCAAATGAGGAAAAGAAAACTAAGAGGTTGCTGGGGAGAAAGAAGGCAAATGTCACCTGCTTCATCATTCTTTTTAGAGCTCTCAATGTGTACCTTCAGTATTGCTCAGACTTTTTTTTAATGTGTAGCAGTGTTGCTATGGTAACTGAAAGCTACATCTTCTTCCATAAAAGCTTTATTGCCTTCCCTAGTGGGAAACAGGCAACAAAAAAAGAGAGCTCCAAGTTTCTGGGAACTGAGTCTTTATAAGGAAATATATTTTGTTGTGTTTTGCACACTGTTTCAGGTTCTTCTTTAGGTCAAGGTCACCAGAAAGGGTGAGAGAAATATATTTCTGATGCGGGCTCTTCCAGGAATAGATTAAACCCAGATACCAGACATATTTCAGGATATGAGGGTAAAGCAGGTTTTACATGGCCATGTGAAGGGACTTCTGAAGGACAACCTGAGTATAAAACACGTTTTATTATCATGATTATCAAAAAGTATGTGTCAGCCTCTGTGACCATTCATGACTAGTCAGGGCGCTGGGTAAGACAGAAAGGTTCAAGCTCAGCTCACTCGGTACTCAGTCAAAGGCAGCCTTAGTGAGCACATACAACCACATCAAGGACAGTCACACAACATGAATACGGAGGACAAACTGGCATGCCATTTGGTCTCACTGTTTCCATGCGTCCACAGCTCATTTCTAACTTTGTGCTTTGTGTATTTGCTTGTCTTGTTTACCTGTCAATAAGGCCTTCTCTATTTTTTTTAAGTCCCAGTCTTCCTTAAAGACCCAGTTATGAAGCTCCTCCCCTTTGAGAGATTGCCTCCTTTTAAACCTTATTATATGCAGTTAGCATGAGCTTTTAGCATTTATGTTTTTCCCCAGGCATTCAATGATCGTATGATCATTGAAGTGTTTTATAGATAATCATATGTAGGTTTCTGATCCTTCCTAGATAAATGCTATATTAAAGATGGAAGGTTTGGAGAACCTCCACCTCTCATCGGTTTTTAAAGAAAATGGCCTGTGGTGCTCTGAAAGAGGCAGTTAGTTGGAAATTCCAACTGCCTGTCCTTTAGATTTTCTAAGCATGCTTCTGTACTTGGTAGCTGCTGATTGGCTGTTACCAAAGGTGACTAGAGTGCTAAGCCAGTCAACAGGGAAAACTTGGCTCCTGACTTTGGGTCTTTCTTCTCAGTCTATATGGAAGAAAACTGAGAAAAAATATAAAAAAGAAGAACACAACTAGTTGCGCATCTCCTAAAGAGGTAATTACAGTAAAAAATATTAAAATAAGGACCCTGCTGGAGTATGAATTTATAATGTGATCACTATTCCATAATAATGGAGTAACTATAAATGAACCAACTGGGGGAGGAAATAGCTTCCTTCAATGGGGCAATTCCCAATGTTTATTTAGTGCCAGAGAAGAGAAAATGCCCAGATACATGACTTGTATCCAGTAATTATGTAAAACTTATAATAATTACAAAGGAATGATAACTGGGGGTAATTTAACTGCTAAGTAGGTCAGTAGGGGAGTGTGATGAGGAAAAAGAAGTTGCTGCAGTGTATGGAGATATGGAATTCAGAAGTAATACTTGTCAAGTGCTTATTCTGTATAGAATATGTTAGATGTTTTAAGGTATTTTTCATTTAATTCTCACAACAACACTGTGAAGTGCCTGTTATCCCCATTTTACTGAATAGAATATGAACTCCAAGAAGTTAAATAGCTTGCTAAAAATCAAATATTTCGATGGACAGACTTCGTCTTAGGCTAAAGTCTATGTTTTTACTCTAACTATGAGCTGAAAGTTGAAAGAAGATAGTATCAAATAAGGAAAAGTTGTAATATTGAAGGGAAAATAAGAAGAATGAGACTGGAACTATGCCCCAAAGAATTAAAGAAACCAGTAGGTAGCAGAAATTCTTGAGCTTGCAGGATGGCAGATAAGAAAGCTTGCAGAACAAGCTTGCTGACATTAAAACCAGAATTTCCACCACGTGCTTCATACTAACTCTCTCGAGTTTGCACAGGTGACCCATGAAGAGGCATAAAGATTCTAATAATGGTGTTGTATCATTTAATTTGAATGTTTAGCAAAGTGATATAAGATTTTTCTGGTAAAGGGACTATTTTCAGAGTTTAACTGTGATAATGTCTCCACTTAATGTTAAATTCGTTCTTACACCAAAAATATACTTGAGCATTGCACCATGCCGACAGAATTTTAATCTACCATTTGTTTCCTCTTACCTTGTGAAAACAAGTTGTTTTCTCAGATGATTTTTAAAAATGCACTAAAAACCTTCAGTTCTCCCCTGTTAATGTGATAAGAATGAATTCAAAAAAATCAAACTGTTTGAGCTTTCTATTGTCAATTAAATGTATTTAATAAGCAAGTCAGTTTTGATGAAGGAAAAACACCAGTTACATTTAATTTACTCAGCAGTTGTCAGGAACTGCACAAAGTTCTGAGATTTTATTCCACTTAGAGTTGGCAAATTAGTATGTTTCTGTTTTCTTGGATGCTGGCAAAAGACACAAGACTCCTAGGTCAGAGACGAAGGACTTTATTACTAATAGCAAAAGCAGTAGCCAGAGTGTCCACAGGTTGCTCACTCCAGTACCTCCTGTCCCCCAAGTTCCTTAGAGGTGAAATTCATCATGGATGCTGTGTTAGTTTTCTAGGGCTGCCATAACAAAGGCCCATACACTGGGTGGCTTAAACAACAGAAATTTATTTTCTCACAGTTCTGGAGGCTAGAAATCTGAGATCAAGGTGTCTGTAGGGTTAATTCCTTCTGAGGGCCATGAGGAAGGAACTGTTCATGCGTCTCTCCTGAGTTTATAGGTGGCTGGCTGTCTTCTTCCTGTGTCTTCCCTTCATCTTCCCTCTGAATGTCTTCCCTCTGTGTCTTCACTTCACCCTGCCTATGTCCAAATTTCCTCTTCTCTGAGGACACCAGTCCTATTGGATGAGGGCCCACCCTAATGACTTCATTTTCACTTCATCACCTGTTTAAAAATCCTATCTCCAAACATGATTGCCTTCTGAGGTAAGGGTGGTTAGGATTTCAACTTCAGAATTTTGAGGGTAGAAAATTGAGCCCATAATGGATGCTTATACACGTAGTGGAGTGCATTACAGGAGAGGTACAGTGAGATTAAGCAATTCACCATGGAAACAAGCCTGCTGTTGTCCAGGGTGCCTTACCTCATCCCTCAAGGCTGGTGGCTACAAAACACAAGCCTGAGATGAACACCATCCAGGGCCTTGCATTCTTGGCACACTCAACGAGAATGTGCAGGGAAACTCAGGACCATGTGAATTGTCTTCCCCAAAAGCAACGTTGTCAAAATATTAGATTAAGTTACAGCTGTATCATCCTCAGAGTCTTCATCAGTTCAGGCTCTGTTTTACATAGCTGTGTAACTGATCTCACCTCTCTAAAGGTTACCTACTGAAGGAAAACCTGAGCCACATCTCTTTTTCTAGTTTGTAATAATTATACCTATAAATTTACCTTTAATACCAAGTAGGGAGTAAATTTAGAGTTTAGGCAACTGTTGTGTTGTCTGCTTTTGTCACACAGTGTGAAATATTAAGAATATTGAGATTATTTCTTTACTACTTTGTAGTTGTTTATAGCAAAAGGAATTCAAAAATATGTTCAGAAATTGAGTGAAAATAATTCTTATTTATTCCAACAGATGGAATCGCCACTTATATATGTTTCAGTTTTGCTTTTGAACATATTTGAATTTTCATCAGGAATAGTATATAATAAAGGTAAGTTTCAGACCATCTTACTCTCTATTTCCTTCTCAGGAGTTCTTATTTGTGTCTCTTCCTTATTTACAGTAAAAAATTTTTCTTTTAGTATTTCTTCTTTATCTTATCTTCCAATTGTTTCCCAATATTGTCAATTATACTCTGGTCTAGAGGCTTCTAATATCCCGAGTACCTGGGATTACAGGTGCCCACCACCACGCCTGGCTAATTTTTGTATTTTTAGTAGAGATGGGGTTTCACCCATCTTGGCCAGGCTGGTCTTGAACTCCTGACCTCGTGATTCACCTGCCTCAGCCTCCCAAAGTGCTGAGATTACAGGCATGAGCCACCACACCTGGCCGATGGCATGAGATTTTATCACACTGCTCAGAACAGTGCACAATGTAAAACTTACAAATTGCTTATTTCTGAAAGTTTCCACTTTATGTTTTTAGACTATGGTTGGCTACAGGTAACTGAAACTGTGGAAAGTGAGATCACAGAAAAAGGGGGACTGTTGTGGTTGTATAACTGTGAATAGGGCAATGAATGAATTTCATAAATGGCATTTTTTTCTGTACGTTTGTCCCACAGTGGATTTTTATGGTAGTCAGAGCAGGCATTCCATTGGTGGTTACACTTGTGTGGTTTCCCTTTATATCATGATTCTTGTTGAAGAAGTCACATGCTGTTGAAAGTATAACTTCTCTGGCACATCTTTCCTTTAGAAGCTTGCGAAAGAGTAATTTTCTGTGTTTTATTATTATAACAGAATCTAGCAAACTCTATAATCTGAGAATTTCTAGGCAAAGCAGTCCGTGGAGGGAAAGTTAGAAAAGTTTGAAATTGTTTCTCTGTCTCTCCTCACAGTATCTCTGCCTCTGTTTTTACCACCCAAGCCCAGAAGATCCTGTTGATATGAGTACATAATTCACAAAATGATACCAAAGTGCAGAGGACAAATCAATTAGTTGCAATGAGACAAGTGTTAGAAAAAACTCTTTGGCCAGGTGCAGTGGCTCACACCTGTAATCCCAGCACTTTGGGAGGCTGAGACAGGAGGATACCTTGAGCCCAGGAGTTGGAGACCAGCCTGGGCAACATGGCAAAACCTCTTCTCTATAAAAAATACAAAATTTAGCCAGGTGTGATGGTGCTCACCTGCAGTCCCAGCTACTCAGGAGGCTGAGGTGGGAAGATCACTTGAGCCCCAGGAGGCAGAAGTTGCAGTGAGCCAAGATCACTCCACTACACTCCAGCCTGGGTGACAGAGCAACACCCTATATCAAACAAACAAAAACAAATTTCTATTTGAACTGGATCTTAAAATGTATTAAAATTTGAGGCAGAAAATGAAGTAGAGAGAAGCCCATGCATTTCAGAGGTGATAGACAAGGTTGTCTGCAGGGGAGACTGAAAAAATGGGCTTAACTATTGAAAGAGTGTCTAGCGGGATAAAGAGAGGATGTCCCTTAGAGAAACAACTTGGTTCCAGTCTGGCCCACTGTTGTTAGTTATATGACGTTTGAGCTTGATTTCCTCTTCTTTAAAGAGGAGACAGTAATATATGTGGCACAAGGTATTGTGGGAATTTCATAAAATAACATCTAAATCCAGCTCAACCCATTTGAGCCTTAATGGCTCAGAGTATGTTATTCAAAGGAGTTAGTTTCCTTCTGTTTAGTGTCTCACCATTTAAGAAGTTTAATTCATGAGGTAAGGGTGTGTCAGTGAAGATTTTTAAACAGAGAAGTGATTTGGACTTCACAATCAAATTATAGCTTTAAAAAATAGGTCTGATAGCATTGTCAAGTATGGGCAAAGTGACTGCATAAGTTGAAAGTACTTTGAAAACTGTTTAACATTATAACCTCCAGAAATATTTGTATATTTTGCATATTTGTGATATTTGTAAAGATATGTTTACTTATAGAATTTCAAGAATAGCATTGAAATCATTACATTATACAAACAGAATGAGTAACGTTCAATTATAAATTAAATTTATTTTTGCCTCCTATTTAAATCCAATCTTTGGCATGGTTCTTCCTCTGTCACTGGATGAATATTTGGGCCAGAACCAAGATTTTTTTGGTTACAATTGGATGATTCACACAGTTCTCCTAGAACAATAAACTCTGGGGAATATGAGGGACAGGAGAAATGGATCAGGGAGGGCACTGTGCTCACTACCTGGGAGACAGATTCATTTCTACGCCAAAACTTAGCATACAAAATATACTTTTGTAACAAACCTGCACATATTCCCCTTGAGCCAAAAATCAGTTCTCTGAGCATTTGAAATTTTAAAACACTTTTGCATTGTAATTGTTGTAATTAAGATATCCAAGCCCATGTACAAGTCAAATTTAACTCTTATTTTATAATTGAAGCTTCTTCCCTGTTCCCTATCTGGGCCTGTGCTGGTGGGAAGCCTATAGGTGAGGAAGAAAAGCTAAGGTCAACTTTTCCTTCTCTCCACTTAGTGTTTAGATTCCTTTTCATTGTCTCATCAACTTTAGGTTTTGACCCTTCCTGCTCCAGCGTTGTAGAAAGGGAGGGAGAAGTGGGAGGGAAAGCACAGTTCTGCCCTAGCTGGTTCTGAGGGGACCATCTGACATTTGCACTTTCAAGTTCCAGCAGATGTGTAAAGCTGACCCTTGATCTCTGGGCTCTTGAATGAGTCCTTCATAGCCCCTTCCCCTCCCTCACATTACTGGGAATCTCTCATCTACAGTTCTTCTAACAAAGGCAAAAACTTCTTCATTCCCACTGGTCACTTATTTCTTTGTCTATGCCTTCAAATTCTTTTTGCTGAGAGCCATTTGCCGCTCAGAGAGACCTTTGAGGACAGGAACCTAGATGACCCTAAGCTAGTTCTTTTTCACCAGTGACCTATATCTGGACCACAGGAAGCATTCATCCATCTTTTGCCCCAGTAAATTTTGGTTGTGCAGGACTCTTAATGAAACGGGAGAGTTCCCTGGCCCCTCTTGCAGGACATACAGAGGTGTGGCTGTTCTGGCACTCGAACCCCTTACGGGATGGGGAGCATGCAGATGGGCAGGTGCAGGAGCCGGACGAGCACGCCTGGGCTCTGGCTCCATGGCAGCATCCACGGGTGGGAGCCTGTGACTCCTGAAACCCAAGTGGGTGTGTGTTACAGTGCACCATCTTAGCCTTGCTGTCCACGGACGGTTTAAGTGTTTACCAGCTCAGTGCCTTCTTGGTACCCAGGTCCTTGTCCAGCATCCAGGAATAATCAGTTTGCACATGGACTTGAAGGATGAATGCAGGGGTTTTACTGAATGGCCTGAGGTGTCTCTCAGCAGGACAGATGGCTACCTAGAAGGGGGATGGTGTGGGAAGATGATCTTCCCCTGGATTTTGGCCTCTCCGACCATCCCCAGAGGAGCTCCTCTTGGCATTTAGATGCTCCTTCTCTTCTCTCTGCTGTTCTTTTGCTCTTCTGTTCATATCCTTGCTTACCTACTAGTCTGCTCTGAGGCCTGGGGTCTGGGGTTTATATGGGTATAGGATAGGGGCCATGGTGGGCCAAAAGGCAACTTCTGGGCACGAAAACAGAAATGCCTGTTTTCATTAGGGCTGTGGGTTTCCAGGCTTGAGGATGGGACCTTTGCCTCTTCTACCCAGTATTTCTGTCTTCTGTCTGTGTCATTAACGTACCCATCTCTTTCTCAACAAACCGTATCCTGTTCTCTCCACCAAATCATCTCTTGCCTTCTAGATTTTCTAAGCAGGAGTCTGAGTTTGTGCCCCAAACTGCAGGGATACATGTTACTTTTTTTAGTGTGCCCAACAGACCCTCTTGCCTCAGACACAAGGTAAGTAAGTAGAAGGGGTCCGTCTCCTAACATCTTCATTCAGTACCTCTCTATCAAAACACAAATTTTCTCTGCAGTTGCTGATTCTGGATCCTTTTATACCCTCAAGGTGAGGCGTTGAAGTGTCAAGAACTGGTTTTTGTCTACCTCTAAAAATTTTGTGTCATGGTCTAGCATGAGTTATATTAGTGCTTCAGCCAAACCTTCCGTTTCTAAACATACCTTATAGCATATGTGTAAAAAGAAAAACAAGGTGGAAAATTTGAATTTTACCTAAAGTGAATTTAAAATGTGCAATTATAATTCTTATTCCTTAAAAATATTTTGTCAGTTTTAGAAACATGGTACTTTTTATGGACAGTCTTCTATCAGTGATCTAATATATGTATTTTTTTTATTATTTAGATGATACAGAGAAACGCTTTGCATGTTCTAACAAAGGGTTCCCTCAAGAGAATGAAATAATCAAGTTGTATCTTTTCTTAGAAAACTTGGTAAGGTCCACTAATAGCATGTGTTATAACCCTTCACGTTCCTTTAAAATCCATGTGTAAAACCAATAGCATTGTATTCTTTCCAAATACCCTCTACTATGTTCAGTCTTGGGGAGGGAAAATTCTATATAAATAATAATTTTTTCTATCTTTGCTAGTGTATGTCTACTTGGAGCAGGTAAAATACTTCACTTAGCCATAGAGCATCCTGGGTGTTTTTGCTTTTATTCTTTCTTTTTTAAAATGATGCCTCCTCCCTCCCCTTTTTAGTGGAGTTGATTTGTCCTTTTGAAGTCTGACAGATGTAGCCTATTAGAGAAGGAAAGCTACCTCACATGACCTTGAAAATCTGTCTTGCCTTTGTATAACAAGTACCACATTGAAGTTGTCATTTTGGGTAAGGAATGATATGATCCTTTGATTCAAATAATGGGAGACTTTTTAAAAACACACACAACGGAGTAAAATAAAGCATGCTATCAAGATCATGCAGCAAATACTAACAAAAATATACATTAATAAAAAATGCACAGATTGTCTAAAAATCTATGATAAATATATATAATAAAAACAAAGAAAAAGACTCCATGAGAGCAAATGCATGTATTCCTAAGCCTGCTTTGACTTAGGCCACAATTCCCTCTTGATATGCTTAAATATATATTTAAGCTTTGTATATACAACTATTGAGAAGTGTATGCTCTCTGAGCTAAAAATGCATTTCTGATTTGTTGTTATATGTTATGGAAAAAGTATGGGCTTTGGAAGAAGACGGACTTACAGAGCTGGGGTCCAGTCTTGGTTCTGCCATTTATGGTCTGTGTGTCCTGGGGCAGGTTACCTAAACTCTCTAACCCTCAGTTCTTCTTCTAAAAAGGGAATTATAACCTACTTTTTGGATAGTTGTAGTATAGTAGTTCTAGCAGCAGTAGTATTAGAAGTGATAGCTAACGTTTATAAAGAGTTTATGTGTATCAGGCATTTTAAAAAAAAGTTTAATGTTCATTATGACATTTAATCTATACATTTAATCTTCTGTGAGGAAAATATTGTTTTTTATTCGCTAATAACCCTGTGAAAAATTGTACTGCCTTCCCAAACTCCTGCACTCTCAACCTCCCTTCCCTGCCTCGTTCTTATAATGTATTCTATATTTATTTCATTTTTTCTATCTTTTCCTTCATTCTCTACCAATCCATCCAACAATCTCTCCATCCAGTTTGTCTACTTGCCAATCTCCATTAGAATGTTAATTCCACAGGGGCAGAGAGTTCTGTCTGTTTTATTCACATCTACATTCCTAGCACCATTCATAGGAAGGGCTCAGTAGATATTTTTGGAATGAATGTATTTCCCCATTTTTTAGATTAGGGAAACTAAAACTCAGATAGGGAACTTGCCCAAAGCGATCTTAAGTACTAGGAGAATTAATTGAAATAAAGCTCTTGGTATCTGTCTCATGTTAGTTTTCAGGAAAATCCACCATTTCTGATCGCTACATTTTCATATGCCTTCTCAAAACTAGGAAATATCCAGTAAAGATGCAGTAAAATAGGCTTTGCTTTATATAGTTGCTTCCTTTTTTATTTAGACACAAAATAACAATTTTAATAAAATTGGAATTTCTATTTGTGATAACATATTGCTTTGAGTCTATGTTTACTACATGTAATAATAATGACCATTTCTATGATAGAAAAGATTATTATTAAGATGAAACCTTTATGATGCTAGCATAATAGGTTACTGAGTTCTGAAAGTATACTTGTATAAATATATATATTTTTTCCTAACTAGAGACTGGAATTACTAATCACTTTTAGATTAACTAACTTGTGTGTCTGCATCAAGTGGTTATTAGTTGTTTTTTTTTTTCTTGCTTTCCTAAAGAAAATCCAGTGTTTCTTCCAAACTGAAAATGAAATTGCATCAAAAGCAATGCTAAGTGTGTTCACATCAGGAGGACTTGCTCCCAGCTTGGGAATCATGAATAGTACATATAATGGCATCTTCCACTTTAATTTAACGTTGGTAATTACATTTTATCTTACTCTGTGATATGTTATTAACAAGAAGCATACTCTTCCTTATAGGATGTATTTTTTAAAAAATAGGTAGCTGAGTAATATTACATCTATGTATGTTTTAAGCCCACTGATAGTGTTACACTTTTTGCTTTAAACAGTCATATATTTTTAAATAAATTAAAGAAGAAGAAATACTTATTTGTACCCTTTACCTACATATTTATTATTTATACTGTCCTTCATTCCTTCCTGTAGATGTAAGTTGCCATCTGATGTCAATTTCTTTTAGCATTTCTTACAGTGCAGAACTGCTGGCAAATAATTCTCTGGGGTTTTTTCCTTCTAAAAATGTCTTTATTTCACCTCTTTTTTGGCAACAACTTTATTAAGATATAATTCCATACAGTTCACTCATTTAAAGTGTGCACTTAAATAGTTTTTAGTATATTCATAGAGTTGTGCAACCATCACTACTAATTCCAGAATACTTTAGTCACTCCAAAAGTGATGAAAGTGACAATCTATAACTATTAGCAGTCACTCCCAATCCCCCCTCCACTCCCCAGCCCTAGACAACCACTAATCTTTCTGTTTCTATAGATTTTCTAACTCTGAACATTTTATGTAAATGAAACATATATATGTAGTGTTCATGACTGGCTTCTTTCAGTTAGCATATGTTTCAGTTAGCATAATATGGTCAAATAATATCGCATTGTATAAATACCACATTTTGTTTATCCATTTATCAGTTGATGAACCTTTGGGCTATTCCCACTTTTTGGCTCTTCTGAATAATGCTGCTGTGAACATTTGTGTGAAAATTTTTGTGTGGAAATATATTTTCATTTTTCTTAGCTACATGGCCAGGGATGGAATTGATGGATCATATGATAACTCCATGTTTGACCTTTTGAGAAAATGCCAGACTGTTTTCTAAAGTGGTTGTACTATTTTACATTCTCACTAGCAGCTTGTTAGAATTCCAATTTCTTTTCTTTCTTTCTTTTTTGTTTAGAGACAGGGTCTTGCTGTGTTGCCCAGGCAGGATTTGAACTCCTGGGCTAAAGTGCCCAGAAGTTCTGCCTCAGCCTCCTGAGTAGCCAGGACTACAAGTGCACACCAGCACACCTGGGTTAGGGTTCCCGTCTCTCCACATCCTTACCAAGGCTTGGTTTTATTTGTCTTTTTTTTTTTTTTTTTTAGACAGAGTCTCGTTCTGTCACCCAGGCTGGAGTGCAGTGGTGCGATCTCGGCTCACTGCAAGCTCTGCCTCCCGGGTTCACGCCATTCTCCTGCCTCAGCCTCCAGAGTAGCTGGGACTACAGGCATCCGCCACCAAACCTGGCTAATTTTTTGTATTTTTAGTAGAGAACAGGGTTTCACCTTGTTAGCCAGGATGGTCTTGATCTCCTGACCTTGTGATCCGCCAGCCTCGGCCTCCCAAAGTGCTGGGATTACAGGCATGAGCCATCATGCCTGGCCTTTATTTATCTTTTTTAAAATAACCATCCTAGTAGGTATAAAGTGCTATCTCATTATCATTTTGATTTTAATTTCCCAAATGACTAATGATGTTGAGTATCTTTTCATGTACTTATTAGTCCCTTGAATACATTCTTTGGAGAAATATCTATTCAAATTATATGCCCATTTTTAGTTTGGGTATTCGTGTTTTTGATTTGTAAAAGCTCTGTATAGATTCTAGATACAAGTCTCTTATCAGACATATGATTTGCAAATATTTTCTCTCATTCTATGCGTTGTCTTTTCACTTTCTTTATAGTGTCCTTTGATACACAGAAGTTTTTCTTAATGAAGTCGGCTGTATCTATTTTTTCTCTTGTTGCTTGTGCTTTTGGTGTCATGTGTAGAAAACCATTGCCTGACTCAAGGTTATGAAATTTTATCCCACATGTTTTCTTCTAGGAGGTTGATAATTTACCTTCTACATTTAGATCTTGGATCCATTTTGAGTTCATTTTTGTATTTGATGTGAGATAAGGGTCCTTACTCATTCTTTTGCATGTGGATATCCAGCCATCCTAGCATGACTTGTAGAAAAGACTATTATTCTTCTATTGAATTGTTTTGGCACTTTTGTTGAAAATAAGTTTACCATAAATGGGACAGTTTATTTCTGGATTCTCAATTTTATTGCATTGATCCACATGTCTATCTTTATGCTAATATCATATTGTCTTGATATTGTTGCTTTGTACTACAGTTTGAAATCAGGAAGCATGAATCTTCTAACTTTGTTCTTTTTCAAGATTATTTTTGCTAGTCTGAGTTACATAAAATAATATGAATTTTAGGATAAGCTTGCCAATTTCTACAAAGTAGCCATCTGGGATTCTGATAAGGACTGTATTGAATCTGTAGATACATTTGGGTAGTATTGCCATTTTACTAATATTAAGTCTTCCAATCTATGAACAGGGTGGATGTCTCTCCATTTATTTAGATCTTTAATTTCTTTCAACAATGTTTTATGTTTTCAGAGTATAAGTTTTATACTTCTTTTGTTAAATTTATTTCTAATATTTTATTCTTTTTTATGTTTTAAAGGGAATTGCTTTCTTAATATCATTTTCAGATTGTTCACTGCAAGTACATAGAAATATAATAATTGATTTTTATATGTTGATCTAGTATCCTGCAGCCTTGCTAAACTTGTTTGTAAGATCTAACAGGTTTTTAGTGGTCAACTGAAATTTTGAAGCATAGTTTTGTCAAATATAAAATTTCTGGTTGACTTCACTTTATTTCAGCATTTTGAATATTTTATACTAATGTCATCTGACACCTTTGCTTCTGAATAAGAAGTCAGCTGTTAATTTTACGATTGTCTCCTGTATGTAATATGTTATTTTTCTCTGGATGCTTTTAAGATTTTTCTCTTTGGATTTACCCAAGTAAGGTTCCCTGGGCTTCTTGAATTGTAAGTTTAGCAAATTTGGAATGTTTCCAGCCATTATTTCTTCAAAAGAAGAATTGTACCACACGTCTCTAAGATCTTACCTGTGGTTTTGGCAGCTGAAATCGCTACTCAATTCTTTTAGCTTGCACTGCTAGTTTTTACAAACTGGTCTTCTGGGGGTGTCCTTTGCACCTTTATTGCCCAAGAATTTGGTCACAGTTTATATTTAAATCTCAGAGATTACCATTCTTGCAGTTTCCTTATTCCTGGAATTTTCCTCTTAATATCCCAAATGCTCTGTCAACCTCAAGCTCTGTCTCTGACATGTCATGAGTAAATACTTCAACTATGTGCTACATAAGCTTGGCTGTACAGAGTTCCACTATGTGGCTATATTATACATAACTGATGAATATTTTCATTATTTCCAATGTTCAGCCATTACAGTGATGCAAAATTATTCTTGAACACATTTTATTTCACACATATGTGAGCATAATGTAGGAAAAATTCCTAAGAGTGAAATTTCTAGGTAAAAGGTATATGCATTGGATGTTTTTGTTTAATTCTCTTTTAAAAATATAGCATAGAATGTGATGTGTTGTTATTCATGTTGTAAAACATTGTTTTCTGATGTCTTCTTTATTCAAGTTCAGTGATCGGATTTTGTGGTTGGTTGATATTCCTAGAGAAAACATCACACAAAGCACAGGTAAGAGTGATCTGAATTAATTCTTTTACCCCTGGGTCTGGATTTATCAAATAAAAAGAACAAAAAGAATTTATTATCTTAAAAGTGATTTGTTATGTCATGTAAATCCCCCATGTGGTATTTGGGGCATACTTACTAAAAATTATCTGTGGTTTATCTGAATTTTAAATTTAACTGGGATACTGTATTTTACCTGACAGTCATATTATAGGTAGATTGTTTTGACATATACAACATTTATATTATCTTTTATTTAAAATAAATTCATTTCTTAGAACTTGGAAATTGTAGTATTAATATGGGTACTAATTTATTTTACTGAAGATGAATCATTAGTTTTAATATGTTATAAGCTATAAATATGTGTTATTTTATTATGGAATCTATTAAGTATTTTGTGGCAGTGTAGCATCATATGCTACTGTATGTACCTAGATGAAAAGAGGAGAAAAGTCAAATTCCAGGAACTGTGAGTATTGATCTAGTGAACTGACCTAGTAGATCTGTAGGCATGAGACACATTCCCAGAGGTTAAAAATGGTGGAAGATTTGTTGTTTTAATATGATAGGTGCGTTAAACAAAACCAACTTGACTTCACTTAAGGAAAAAGAAGAAATTTATTTTAGTCATGGAACCCAAAGACAAAAATGCGCCATCTTATAGGAAGGAATTAGAAATAAGAAATGGAAAACCATCAAGAACTGAGGGAATACTTTCACCCTGTTTGTCTGTCTTATCTGTATTTTCTGTAAATCTATATTTATTTTTCTTTTTTTGTAGACAGGCTTTCTAAAGTTGCCTCATTACAGTTGAATTTTATATATCTTTCTTATGGGTCAGCCCAATTCCAAATTCCCAGGACAGTATCTTCAGTTGACCCATTGTTGATCCAGCATCCACCTGTGCACCAAGCAAATATGGATTGGGAGAGTGGGATGGGGGAACCATACAGGCCAACCCCTCTTGGTATTGGAGTAAAGGACATTCCAAACTGTGTCTTATAGAATGAAGGCAAGGCAAGGTGAGGGTAAGTTAGAGATGATGGAAAAGATTCTATAGATAAAAAAAGTGTCAAAGATAAAAGTCTGCAATAGATGCGCCAGTGCCATAACATCTGGCATAGATTGTATCACTCTCTTTACCCTTTATTCAACGTTTTTCAAATTAATTTTCTTATTGGAGCTATCTGTGATTTTTAAAGGAATTTATCTTGAAAACTGTACTTATTTTCGATGTAGCCTAACTCTTATTAATATAATGATGGAGTGTTATTCCAGAAGCTTTGCATAATATTGACATTCATTTGACCATTGAAGAAGTGAAGATCACATGTTATTTTTACTTCTACTCTTTATTTACAAACTTTAATTTTAGAAAAGCATTGATTCTAAAGTCACCCAGACAGGAACAAAGATGATACGAGAACTTAAGGATTTTAGAAAAAGACCAAATTAGCTCTTCCTCTCCTGATACAACTCCCCTGACTGAGTAAAAAGAAATATCTTTGTGCTAGTACTGTAATAGGAGGGGATGGTTTATGTAGATAGTAATATGCTAAAAATCAGGGGAAAAATGTTCAGAGGTAAGGAGATCATATTTATTCATTCACTTTTTCCTCCTTAATCATACTTTATTTACTGCTATGGCATGAATATGAGTATTATGAGTATATGTAAAATCTTGGGAATATATTTGAGTGTATGTAAAATCTTGGGAAAAGTAGGTTAGGCAACATCAACAACAAAGGTAGTAAAATAGTCATTGTAGTGGCAGTAGAAATAGCAGGCAGCATTTATTGAATTCTTATTATATGTCAGCACTGCTCTAAACACTCTATCTATGTTATTTCATTTATTCCTAACTATGTGGTAGATACTATTACTATCTTCATTTTCAGATGATTTAACTGAGGCCTATGGAGTTGTATGGAAATTTAGAGATGACTGGGTGGTGAAAGCAGTTTGAAGTGTGAACTACATATAATTGTTGAAAGTAAACAGCCCCTCCTTGATTTACACTACATAATTTGCCCCTTTTTTTCATTTTAAAATAAGGTATAATTTGCATTCTATGAAACATCCTTTTTGGTGTCCAGTTCTATGGGTTTTGACAAATGTATACAACCGTGAGCACTGCAGTCAAGACATAGAACAGTTCCATCAGGCAATAAAGTCACTCCACCCATAATCAACCCCTCTCCATCTCCCAGTCCCTGGCAACCACTGTTCTGTTCTCTGTTCCTGTTGTTTTGTCTGTTCCAGGGTCATATAAATGGAATCATAACCTATACAGCCTTTGAGTCTGGCTTCTTTCACTTAGCTAATTCATTGGAGATTTGTCTATGTTATAGTCTCTCTAGTGTTCTTGTTGGGTAGTGTTTTTTGGTGTGGATAGTTAATTTTGTTGAAGGGCATTTGGGTTTTTCTAGTTTTTGACAATTATGAATAAAGCTACTGCAAACAATCTCATACAGGTTTTTGTGTGAACATAAATTTTTGTTGCATTTAGCTAATACCAAGTAGTAGGATTACTGTGTTGTATGGTAAGTATAAGCTTAACTTTATAAGAAAAACTGTCAAACGATTTCCCAAAGTGGCTTTATCATTTTGCATTCTGACCACCAGGTGATCTGCATCCAGGCCAGAACTTAGTGTATGTGTGTGTGTCTGTGTGTGTGTGTGTGTGTGTGTGTGTGTGTGTGTGTATGCTTGTAAATATGTATGCATATAAGTATGTATAGACATATTTTTTAAATTTTTAGCCATTCTAAAAAAAAGTGTAGTGGCATTTAATTGTGTGGTTTTTTGTTTGTTTGTTTGTTTATTTGTTTGGATTTTTTTGAGACGAAATCTGCTCTGTTGCCCAGGCTGGAGTGCAGTGGTGCAATCTCAGCTCACTGCAGCCTCCGCCTCCTGGGTTCAAGTGATTCTCCTGCCTCAGCCTCCTGAATAGCCAGGATTACAGATACGCACCACCAGGCCCGGCTAATTTTTTGTATTTTTAGTAGAAACAGGGTTTCGCCATGTTGAGCAGTCTGGTCTCAGGTGATCCACTGGCCTCAGCCTCCCAAAGTGCTGGGATTACAGGCGTGAGCCACCGTGCCCAGACTAATTGTGGTTTTAATTTGCATTTTTCTAACAACTAATGACATTGAGCATCTTTTTTTGTGCTTATTTGCCATTTGGCTTAGTATCTGTTCAAATGTTTTACAAGTTTATTATATATTCTGGATATGGGTGTTACCACATATGATTTGCAGATATTTTCTCCCAGTCTGGGGTTGTCTTTTCATCTCTTAAGAGTATCTCTTGAAGATCAGAGTTTTCAATTTTGCTGAAGGCTAATTTATCAGCTTTTTATTTTATGGATGGTACTTTTGATATCACAGCTAAGAAATCTTTGCCTAAGTTCACAAAGATATTCTCCTATATTTTCTTCTAGAAGTTTACACTTCTAGCTTGTGTATTTAGGTCTATGATTTATTTTGAGTTGATTTTTATAAGTTATATGGGCCAATGTTAATTTTTTGGAATATGGATACCCAGTTATTCCAGTACCATTGTGAAAACTTTTTATCTCCATTGAATTGCTATTTCTGGACTGTATCCTTTCACCAATACTATACTGTCTTGATTATTTTAGCTTTATAATAGGTCTTGTAAGCCATGTTAGTCCTTCAATGTTGATCTTCTTTTTCAAAATTGTTTTGGTTATTATAGTTCTTTTGCCTTTCTATGTAAATTTTAGAATCAACTTGTTTACTTCTACAAAAATCCTGCAGTGATTTTTAATTTTGTATTGCATTGAATCTATAGATCAGTTTAGGGAAAGTCAATAATATCTTTTTTTTTTTTTTTTTTTTTTGAGATGGAGTCTCACTCTTATTGCCCAGGCTGGAGTGCATTGGCATGATCTTGGCTCACCACAACCTCCGCCTCCCGAGTTCAAGTGATTCTCCTGCCTCAGGCTCCTCAGTAGCTGGGATTACAGGCGCCTGGCTAATTTTTTTGTATTTTTAGTAGAGACGGGGTTTCGCCATGTTGGCCAGGCTGGTCTCAAAGTCCTAACCTCAGGTGATCCACCCACCTCGGCCTCCCAAAGTGCTAGGATTATAGGCATGAACCACCATGCCTTGCTGGGAGAGTCAATATCTTAAAAATAATGAGTCTTCCAAACCATGAAGACACTGTGTCTCTCCATTTGTTTACATCTTTTTAAAAATTTATTTCACCCAGGTTTTGTGGCTTTCAGCTTAGAGAACTTGCACATAAAAAAAAAAGTATACCAAAATTATACTTTCAGCAATCATCTCTATAGTTTGTTACTAGAGAAGCTTCTGTGAATGTGTAGAGCACCGGAAACCACAAGGCAAAGGCTCAGCATTCTCTCCTAAGCGCGAAGCTGGCTCCTGGTGTTGGTTGGCCGCAACTGCCATTTGCCATTGATGATCATTCTTCTCTTCCTGTGGTAGAGGAAGAGGGAGAGAATGCAGTTTGAGTGGTTTCTATTTTGTTGGTTTTTGTTTTTTAAGTTATACCTAAGTAGTTCATGGTTTTGGGCCAGGCACAGTGGCTCAGGCCTGTAATCCCAGCACTTTGGGAGGCCGAGGCGGGTGGATCACCTGAGGTCAGGAGTTTGAAACCAGCCTGGCCAACGTGGCGAAACCCCATCTCTACTAAAAATACAAAAATTAGCCGGGCGCAGTGGAGGGCACCTGTAATCTCAACTACTCGAGAGGCTGAGGCAGGAGAATTGCTTGAACCCAGGAGGCAGAGGTTGCAGTGAGTCAAGATTGCACCATTGCACTCCAGACTAGGTGACAGAGCAAGACTCTATCTCAAAAAAAAAAAAAAAAAAAAAAGTAGTTTATGGTTTGGAGTGTTATTGTAAGTGGTACTTTTTAATATTTTGATTTCCAATTGTTCATTGTTCATATGTAGAAGAATGATTGAGTTCTGTTTATTGATCTTGTATCCTGCAATCTTGTTAAATTCACTTATTGGTTCTAATAGCTTTTAATATATTCTTTAGGATTTTCTACATGGATAATCACTCATTTAGGAATGGAGATAATTTTATTTCTTCTCTTCCAGTATGTATTCATTTTCTTTCTTTCTTTTTTTCTTTTTTTTTTTTTTTGCCTTATTGTACTGGTAGGACCTCTAGTATGATTCCAGTATGAAAGGAATAGTAAGAGAGGACATCCTTGCCTTGTTTCCAGTTTTAGGGAAAAAACATTCATGTTTTACATAGGCGCCCTTCATCAGGTTGAAGAAATTTCCTTCATTACAAGTTTGCCGAGTTTTTATTATTGGTGTCAAATCTTGTTAAATGATTTTTTGCATCTATTGAGATGATTATAAGGATTTGCTTACAATTGTCTGTTGATATGATAAATTACATTGATTCCTTTTTGAATTTTGAACCAGTCTTGGAATCCTAGGACAAACAACACTTGGTCATGATGTATTATCTTATTTATATATTCCTGAATTCATTTGGCTAGTAGGTTTCCTAGGTTATCAGTATGGAGATTTATTTTCTTTTCTTGGAATGTCTTTATTTCATTCTAGTATCTGAGTAAGGTTGTCATTATAAAATGAGTTGGGATGAGTTCCCTGCTTTTCTATATTGTGGATGAGTTTTTATAGAATTGGTGTCACCCTTTCATTAAATGTTTGGTGAGATTAACCAGTGAAGGTATCTGGGCTTGGAGTTTTCTTTGTGAAAGGATTTTAAATACACATTCATTATCCCTTAATAGATTTAGGAATATTCAAGTTTTCTGTTTCTCTTTAAGTGAGCTTTGACAGTTTGTGTCTTTCAAAGAAAATGTCCATTTCATCTAAGTTGTTGAATCTACGGACACGGAGTTGTTTGTGATATTCCCTTCTTATCCTTAGAATATCTATAGTGTCTGTAGTGGTGTTCCCTATTTTATCTCTAACATGAGTTATTTGTATTTTTTAAATTATTAGTCTTGCAAGGGTTCATCGGTTTTTATGTTTCAAAGAGACATCTTTTGATTTCATTAATTGTGTATATTGTTTTTCTGTTCCTAATTTCATCAGTTGTCACTCTTTATCTTATCCTTCTACTTGCACTGGGTTTAATTTGCTTCTTTTTTTTTTCCTAGTTTGTTAAGTTGGGAATCTTTAGATCAGGGGTCAGCAAAGTACTGACCCCTGATCCTGCCTACTGCCTATTTTTGTAAATAAAATTTTATTGGAACACAATCATGCTCATTTATTTATGTGTCTTCTATGGCTGCTTTTATGCTACAGTGGTATAGTTGAAGTAGTGTAACAGATATCATATAACATACAAAGCCCCAAATATTTACTATCTGACCCTTTACAAACTCTTTACTATCTTCCAAAGCCTGCTTCATATACAGCAGATCCTCGAATAACCTCATTTCATTCAACATCATTTCATTATAATATTGATGAGGAAGAAAAGTCAATTCCTGGCCAGGGCCACTGTCTGTGTGGAGTGCTCGTGTTCTCCCCATGTCTGCGTAGGTTTTCTCTGAGTACTCTAGTTTCCTAGCACAGCCAAAGATGTGCATGTTGGGTTAATTGGTGTGTCTAAATTGTCCCCGTATGACTGAGCTTGGGTGTGTGTGTAAGTGCACCTTGTGAAGAAATGGCGTTCAATCTTGGGTTGGTTCCCGCCTTGTTCCTGAGCTGCTGGAGTAGGCTCCCCTGATTCTGAACTGAAATAAGCAGGCTAGAAAATGAATGAATGAATACTTACAAATTATTATAAAGTAAAAATTTATTAAGTATACGATAATCATACAAACAAATGCATGACAGTAAACGATGCAATACAAAAGCCCTCAGTTAGCCTGCCATGTTTGTTATTGTTTTATAACTGCAAGTGGTAGAGGATGCTCCTTACAGTTTTTGCTTTGCAAACATTTATTCCTTTATTTAATCCACCACCGCTATGACTACCATTACTTACTGATTCACCAAAAATTGGGTAAGTAATTATCTTACTTGTTTTTATTAATCTTTTTAAAATCTATGCATAGCTCACATTTATTTTAATATTTAATATTAGAAGAATTTGGGGTCTTTATTTAGAAGTTTGGTGATGCTTTTGTGACCAGATATATGCCATAGAAACTTAACTCTTGTTTATATCAATTTGCCTGTTGTGAAATTGGTTTCTATTCATTATTTATACAATTATATTCATTATTTATACATTGTTTTGCCTAAAGTCCTAGTTTCCAAGAACATATTGATGATTATAAGTGAGAACTTACTGTAATTGATTTGAGATTTCTTTTTTCTACTGCAAGTATTTTACTGCTATATATTTCTCTCTAAGCATTGCTTTATCTGCATCCAATAAATTGTGATGTTGTGTTTTCCTCTTCTTTCAATTAAAAATATTTTCTAATTCCCCACAGCACTTTCTCTTTGATACATGGTTTTTTAGAAGTGTGTTGTAAAATGTTCAAATATTGGGGAATTTTTCAGATGTCTTTCTGTTATTGATTTTTCTAGCTTATTCCATTATGTTTAGAGGGCATATTTCATGTGATAGCAATTTAATTTATTAAAATGTGTTTTATGGCTTATTTAGTAGATGCCCCATGTACTCTTGACATAACTTTTGATTTACATATTTTGAAGCTGTGTTGTTAAGCATGTCTACACTTAGGGTTATCATGCCTTTGTCATATGTATTGTCCCTCTTTATTTCTGATATTGCATTGATCTGAACTCTCCTTTGTCAGATATTGATATGGCTGCTACAGCTTTCTTTTGATTAGTGTCATATTTTTTCATCCTTTCACCTTTTATTCAAAACAACTTTTGGAACACTTTCATCAGCAGAATGGAAGTGCACAAATGAATCTTAAAACCAGCCAGGTGCAGTGGCTCATGCCTGTAATCCCAATACTTTGGGAGGTCAAGGTGGGCAGATCACTTGAAGTCAGGAGTTCAAGACCAGCCTGGCCAATATGGTGAAAACCTGTCTCTACTAAAAATACAAAAATTAGCTGGGTGTGGTGGCACATGCCTGTAATCCCAGCTACTTGGGAGGCTGAGGCAGGAGGATCACTTGAACCCAGAAAGTGGGGGTTGCAGTGAGCTGAGATGGCGCCACTGCACTCCAGCCTGGGAGACAGAGACTCTGTCTCAAAAAATCAATAAATAAAATAAAACCAGTGCATCAGTGAGTAAGCTCTAACACAAAAGTACCCATAACTCATGATGAAAATATAATCAGGTGGAGGAAGACAAAAGTCTAAGACAGTGGAGGAGATATGCATATGAGGAAGGAAGGACCCTGGCACTGAATTATCAGATGGACTCAGCTGATGTCTTTAAGTTTCACATACGCTGAGCCCCTAATCAGTGGTTTGAGACAAGCATTATATTTGGTCACAGTGGGTATATGCTACATCCAGAATGGGAAGAAAGTTCAGAATCCTGTGGAGACTGTAGACACTCAACTCTACAATAATGAGGTGGAGGTTATGAGGATGCTAGAGCTCTAGAGAAGCTCTTTCTTTGTGTCACTAACCACACCACAGCAAGATATGGTAAAAAAAATTATTCAAGTTACTAGTTTAATGGAAGAGCCAGAGTGGCTACAGGAAAGGCTCCATGAAAATATCCAGCTGGCATGGAGGAAATAAACATTCAGCCACTGGAGTAGTTATGGTGCCATGCTCAAGAGTTGGTAGAGAAAGGCGTTCTCTCTGATTGACTTACAAAAGACAATCTTTCTTCACATAGAGGACTAGAAAGTTCTATCAGTACTGACCTTTTCCTGTTTAGTCTTATATTTTGAAGCATCTCTGGGTTTACTGCTAGTATCACATCAATCATCAGGTGTAGTTTTGTAATAGTGCCAAGTAGAGGTCTTAAAAACTGGAAGTCTCTCAAATGATTCACTTAAAACAGCCTTTAAATAAGAGACAGCACCAATACCCATTCATTCCATCACATAGTATTAGATCTCCTTAAAAATATACGGCATGCAGATGAAAAAAAATGGTGAATTTTAACTGAATCCAGCCAAAGGGACAACTCTTATGGGCTACAGCTATATCTATTAGAATTTGAATACATATAGTTTAAAAAAGATACATTTTCAAAGTGAGACACCACCACCTCAGTCACTTAATGAAGAAATCTTTTTTTTTAACCCAAATAACAAAGGTTTTAACAGCCAAGTATCTCTATTTTCTGTCTTCATGGAGTGCTACTGTTGTTCTCGTTGAGTTCTTGAATTGCATGTATAACAGATGTATCGGCACATAAACTACTCGAATAGGTTTGTCTGGAGCTTTGGCATTGAACTCTTCAAATTCCACCTCTGGAGCTACCAGCTAATACTATTCACACAGCCTCTTGGCTGTTTCATATACATTGTTCACTATATCAGCCACATTACAGGTGAGATCAATACTTCTTCTGTGTTTAGAATGAGCAGGGATAGTGTCACCATCAAACAGAAGTGCATGCTAGTTAATAAGCATGTGGGAAGAAATGGAGTTGGGACAAAACCATTCTGGAAGATACTGGCTGTACTGCTAATAAAAGACTCAAACACATAATTTTTCTTATGTTCAATCACTCCATGTACCACTATAGAAACCACATTTTTCTGGCTTTCATCAGTACTTATTGAAAGTTATCTAAGACCTGTGGATCTTCAGGGCTCTTATTTTTATATTCTTTTTTTTTGTTTTTTTGAGATGGAGTCTCGCTCTGCTGCCCAGGCTGGAGTGCAGTGGCTCACTCGGCTCACTGCAAGCTCCACCTCCTGGGTTCACGCCATTCTCCTGCCTCAGCCTCCCAAGTAGCTGGGACTACAGATGCCTGCCACCACACCCGGCTAATTTTTTTTTTTTTTTTTTGTATTTTTAGTAGAGACCGGGCTTCACCATGATAGCCAGGATGGTCTCGATCTCCTGACCTCATGATCTGCCCGCCTCGGCCTCCCAAAGTGCTGGGATTACAGGCATAAGCCACCATGCCTGGCCCTTATTTTTCTATTCTAAAACTTCAAGAAAGTTCTGCATATACCAACTTTGAACCAATCCCATTGAAGGCCTGTTAAACCACTTACCCAGCAGAAAATTGGCTTCATTCACTGTGTTAGCCAGTAGCACGGGAATCTCCTTTTGTGAAATCATATATGATGTTCTCTGTAGCCATTATCTCTCCCAAAGTCCAGGAACTTCTTGATGGAGAGTGGTGACAGCAAGAGGCACAGATAGCAATTGATGTACTTGGGCACTGGCTGCTTTAGTAGCCACCAGTGTAGCCATGGCCTTGCCATGACAGCGCACAGACCTGCCTAGATGCCTGGGTGGACATGAGGGCCTGTGCAGCCAGACCATTTTGACCAGGTGTGTTCTTCATGAGTGAACCCCCGTTTCAGTTTCGACCTCAGCCTTGGCCTGTGCTTACAGCCACTTCAGCAGCTCCCAGGCTAAAGCTACTGCTGTTGGCTTCCACAGGCCCTATCCATTCTTTTACTTTTAACTTATTTATGCTTTTGCATTTAAAATAAGTTTGTTATAAATAACATATAGTTTAATCTTGATTTTTACACCTGATCTGTCAAATCTAGTCTTTTAGATGATATTTTAGACCACTTACATTTAATGTAATTGTTGATATGGATAGTTATATTAAAATCTACCACCTTGCAGGTTGTTTCTATTTGTTCAATCTTCTCTGTTTTGCTTTTCTCCTCTTTTTCTGTCTTCATTCATATTAATTCTTTTCTATGATTCCATTTTATCTCCACTATTGGCTTATTAGTTATACCTTAAAAGCTTTTTTTGTTGTTCACCTTAGGGTTTGTATGATACATTTTAATTAATCATGGTCTGCTTCACAAGAAGAGTCACAATTTGCTTTTTATCAAGCCCCTACAGCTCTAGGAGAAAAATTATGACATAAATATTAGTATCTAGATTCATTGCTATGGTGGTAAGATCACTTCATAATTCTTTTTCCATTATTTTATGAGCAAAATGTTTATAGGGAAAACGTATGAAATTTCACATATAAATACCAACAAAATGGTTGGAAAAGGAAAGGCTATCATTGTTGGTAATGTTCACATATCCTTAAATTTCACCAAACACAACATATGAAAAAATAGTTGATTATTTGCCTTTTGTTTTCAAACAGATATTGCAGCTGTAGAAGAATGGTTAGTAAGAATCACTTTACATCATGGACTAAATATTTATGCTACTGAAGGAACTCTATTGGATGTTATTCGAGGTAAATGCCAACAGACAGAAGTAAAATGGAATTCATATATTCTTTCAACAAACTTTGACATCCGCTATATGCCAGATTCTGTGCTAAGGTCCTAGAGATTAAAAATAAATAAATAAATAGGAGATAATCATGACCCTTGAGGCACTCACAATCTGATAGGATAAAGAATTAAATACATGTGGATAAATTATTAACAAAGATCTGCAAAGAGTGCTATAGAAATGTGGAAATACAGGCTGGGCATGGTGGCTCATGCCTGTAATCTCAGCACTTTGGGAGGCCGAGGTGGGCAGATCACTTGAGGCCAGGAGTTTGAGACCAGCCTGGCCAACATGGTGAAACTCCATCTCTACTTAAAAAAAAAAAAAAAAAAAGTTAACCAGGCATGGTGATGCACATCTGTAGTCCCAGCTACTTGGGAGACTGAGGCAGGAGAATCGCTTAAACCCAGGAGGCAGAGGTTACAGTGAGCCAGGATTGCACCATTGTATTCCAGCCTGGGCAACAGAGTGAGACTGTGTCTCAAAAAAAAAAAAAAAAAAAAAAAAAAAAAAAAAAAAAAAAAGGAAGTACATATTTTACTGTGGCCACATTGAGGGTCATTATAAACAATGGCTTATAAAGTTGATTATATTTACTTATTCCAAAAAAGTAAGTAGTTTTTTAGGTAGCTTCCAAATTAAAAAAAAAATGTTACTAATTATTCAATAGTAATTGCAATACTGTCTTTGGGACTCTGATAGTTTGATATCCTATGCTACTTTTTAACTACTGAAATATCAATATAAAATTGTTATATCAATTTTTAAAAGATCTGAAATGCTAACTTACATTTGTTTAGAATGTACTGAGGTATAATTGCAGCAAAAAGCTTCACAAATTGGTAGATCTTTGAAAGCTCCAGATGTGGAGATGAGATTGATCTGTTTGAGGAACTAAAGGGAGACTAGTGTTGCTGAAGCATAGTAAATGACAGAGTGGTGGATCATGAGTTTGGAGAAGCTGGCAGGAATCTTGGTAAAAAGTGTGGACTTTATTGTAATTATAACTTAAAGCCATTGGGGTATTTTAAGCAGAGAACTAATAAATTCTGATTTATCTTTTATAATGAAAAGACCATTTTGGCTGCTATGTAGAGAATAACTCTTGAGGAAGGATAGCAAGAATGGAATAAAGGAAATTGGTAGCAGTTGTTGCAATAGTCCCCTTGAGAAGGTCTGGAGTAGATGGACAGTAGCATTAGCAGTGGAGGTGGTGAGCAGAGCCTTCAGAATAGATTTTGAAAGTAGAGCTGCTATGGCTTCTTGGTGGACTAAGATGGGGGAAAACAGAATTAACAAGGATGATGCCTGGATTTCTTACTCAAGCATTCAAGTAGAGGATGATATCATTCACCAAAATGCTGAAGACAGGAGAAGCAGACACTGGGAAATAGGAATCAAGAGTTAAGGCTAGAGTTAGAAATCTTTATTCACTACTGAACTCAAAAGAGAGTGTAAAACCTTGTCTCTATTTCTTCATATCCAATCCACACCCCAAACCACTCATTTGTTTCCATCTCCTCCACGCTACTCAAACTGTTGCTAATCACAGTCACCAGTGACCTTCATATTGGTCACTTTTCTGTCCCCTTTTTAGCTTCTTAGTAGCAGTCAAAACTTTTAATCAGTTCCTTGTTCTTAAAATGCTTAAGATATACTACCTGACTTCAGGAACTTGTATATAAGTAGGGGGGCATTGTCAGCTCCGTGATGTCCAGTGGTAAGCTGAAATCTCCCTGACCTGGGTGTGAATGGTCTGCAAACAAATATTATACCCTGCAACGTCAGCTGCTTTGCCCCACATTTCTTTGAATTCTGGAGTGACTTCCTGGTGAATTAGTGTAGTTAGAGATTGTGTCTCTTTCCCTTCTTGGCTGTCCTTGTGCTGCACTACGTCAACCCAGATGAAAAGTTAGCTTGTTTTCTTGCTTTGCACAAAGTGAAAAAAATATCACATAAAGTCTTTGGGTTTGTAGCAGATTTTATTGAAAGTTGGGGAGACAGAGGAGAATGTAAATAGCTAAATAACTGGTTATCAGTTATCTCTGCTTTTAAAAGTCCTTTGACT
This sequence comes from Homo sapiens, assembly GCF_000001405.40. Taxonomy (NCBI): domain Eukaryota; kingdom Metazoa; phylum Chordata; class Mammalia; order Primates; family Hominidae; genus Homo; species Homo sapiens. The sequence continues at coordinate 173,826 of NT_187598.1, read as the reverse complement.
ATTTTTGAAATTCAGACAGCAGTTGTCTTTCAAATTGCCCTGGCTTACTTTTTGTACTCTTTTTTTTCTCATTTTTTTCTAAAAGAAAAAAAACCCTCCCTTTTATTAATGCATGAAAATTCGACTTTAGCTCCAATCCTTTGCATATCCAAAAGTAATATTTTAAGTTTTAAAATTTGTGACGCCTTGTCTGATGACGTTCTTTCGAAAGGCTCATTGTCTACCCTGGTCTGGTGAGGAAGAGTGTACCCTGATTCTTCTAGTTACAGTGAGTGCAGAGTCCTATTGGAGCACCTGGGAGGAGAGCCTCACTCATTCTAGGGCGTCATGGAAGGCTTCCCAAAGAGGGAGACATTCACATTGAGGACTGAAAAATAGGGTTGTGAGAAAAACAGATATTCAAAGCCCCACAAACTAGAGCCTGTAATGGGAGGCCAGTTCTGGCAAGAAGTAAAGCTGAGGAACCAAGAGGACGTCAGATTCTGGAAGGCCTGGTTTGCCACGTGAAAGACCTTATTCACCACTAGTGCTGCTATTCTGCCTGTGCTGCATTGGAGATGCTTCACCTCTGATTGCTTTCTCTTCTGCATCTCATTCCCAACTTCTATCTTGCAGAAATCCTTCTAAGTCTCTTGGCCCCTAATGATAACTGTCCCTGTTCACCACTGCTACTCTGGATTTTACTCATTTTCATCTACCTACTGTTGTTTCAATGAGATTGGGAAGAGAACAAAAAGTAAATGAGTGGGCTCTAGAAGCAGAAGTTATAAATATATTCTGTGATCCAGCAATTCCATTTATACAGATAGATCCTGTGGCAAATAGTATTTTTCAACTACCTTCCAGAAATCCCTCTCAGTCTCTTGGCCACTAATGATAACTGTCCCTGTTCTCCACTGCTACTCTGGATTTATTCCCATTTTTATATATCTACTGCTATTTCAGTGGGATTGGGAAGAGAACAAAAAGTAAATGAGTGGGCTCAGAAGTTATAAATGTGCGTATTCTGTGATCCAGCAATTCCATTTCTAGGGATAGATCCTGTGGCAAATGGTATTTTTCAAATGTGGCCAAAGCAATCTCTCTCATTCCACATGCTCTTCTGCAATGTAACCTTGCCAGCCCCCCACCAAGGGGAATTAGACTTTACTCCTTATATCCTGGAAAATAGTCACTGACTGATTTTTAACCAATGCAGAGTGAGGTAATGCACCTTTTTTGAACTATAGAATAGTTTCTTTACATAGTTCTTTTAAAACCTTTAAAGGAAAGTAGCATCCATTTTCAAGGGTGCTCCCACAATTTAAACACCCAAATTTGATTTCCACAGAACCGATTCTTCAGTGGACTCCTGGGGATGTGATTCCAGAAAGTGAAATCAGTAAATTATATCCACATGTGGTAGATCTCAAAGTGACAAAATGCCCCTGTGCCAATGATGTGGCATTACTAGGCTTCATTGTGGATACAATAGTTGATGGTAGGTCTACAGCTTCATTAAATGTTGACATTGGCCTTTTATATTTTGTAACAGTAATGTTTAACTGGCAGCAGAAATAAATGCATAGACATAGGGAAGGAAAATTGTTTCCTAAAAATACCTAAAAATTTATTATTCAATACTGTATCTTGTCTACTTCCAAGTATGATATACTAAGTATGTTTTCTTACTGTGACTTTTTGCCATGTTAATTGTGACTTTAGTGTGTCTCCTAATTTCATTTATCCCATGCCCTCCATTAATATGTTACTTTCTCCCAGAGATTATCTGCTATTCCTACCATGTATAAATAGGTATTTTTGTTCTTGAAATACCACATTACTTAGTTTATGTTTGCATTTTTTTCATTACTACTGTAATATCTGAGAGCATCTATATAGGGAAAGAAACAACTGTTTCTCTCTATATCCATTTCATAACACTCTAATACCAAATGTATGGATTTTCCACACCGAGTGATTCTCCAGTTCTCTGTGGATGACCGAGTAGGTGTCCTATGATTTAATACAATTCTGGCACTAGCTATCTGGAGTTAGCACAGACCCCCCTCTCCAGCCAACAACAGATTAAGGGCTCAGTCCCACAAGACTGTCCCCCAATTCAAATGCCGGTCACAAGTCCCAGGTTGTAGTTCTAATCAACTAATTATAATTTGGGGAGGTCCCACAAATCCTTCCTTGAGTTCAATAATTTGCTAGCACAACTCACAGAACTCAGGGGAACGTTTATTTAGGTTTGCCAGTTTATTATAAAGGTCAAAACAAAGGATACAGTAAACAGTTGGGCAAGGTCCAGAAGATTCCCAAGAAAAGGAGCTTCTGTCCCCGTGGAGTTGTGACACGCCACACCCCTGGTATGTAGATGTGTTTTAGCATTCCAAAACCTGCACTGTAAGGAGAAGCTTTATCACATAGGCATTGATCAATTATTTATTCAGTCTCCACACCCTCCCCACTTCCTGGGAGATGCACTGTGGGGCTGAAGGCTCTAAGCTTCTAATCGTGGCTTGCTTTTACTGGTGACCACCCCACATCTTAAAGGTATCTGGGAGTCTGTCAGGAGTTGCTTCATTAGAACAAAAGACAATCCCATCACCCAGGAAATTCCAAGGAGTTTAGGGGTTCTGTATCAGGAACTGGGGCCAAAGACCAAATGTTATAACAAAGGATGTTCCTAGCACTCCATCATGCAGGAAATTCTGGAGGTTTTAGGAGTTCTCTATCAGGAGCCAGGGACGAAAACCAAATACGTATTTCTCGTTATATCACAATATCACAATGTCATTACACATTTCAACTACTAATAGTATTATTTTAATTATTGTTCCTAGCTAATTGATGACCTCCTAGACCCCAAATTCAGTGAATATAAAGGAAAATATATTTAAAACTTAAAAAATAAGAAACAAAATTTTATTACTCGTAGATAATATGTATACCTACAAAAAAATCCAAAAAGATCTGTAGAAAAACTCAGAACAAATATGGGTATGCTAGAAGGCTGTGAGATAGAATAACAATGTATAAAAATCACTCCACCAAGGACTAATTAAAGATTATAATTTAAAAAATCCTATTAAGGTAAGAAATCCCAAAAAGTACCCAGGAATAAAAAAAGGAGTTGCAAGGCCTATTGTGTAGAAATTATAAAACTAATGAAGGTCATAAAAAAAGACCAAAATAAATAAGAGATTTCATGTTTATAAGCAGGAAGTTCTGGTATTATAAAGATTTATTTTATAAATAAATTTATTACAAATAAAATGTATTACAAATTTATCAATTCAATATGATTCCAAGAAAAATTATAACAATGTTTTTGGTTTGTGTGTGTGTGTGTGTGTGTGTGTGTGTGTTTTCTTTTTTGTGTCAGGGAGGGTGTAGAAATTGGCAAGCCAAACACAAAATTCATATGGGAGAATGATACACCATGAATAACAAACATAATTTTAGAGAAAAAAAACAAAACAAAAATTTGTCCTAGCATGACTTATTATAAAGCAATAGATTAAAACAGTATGCATCAGTATAGGGATAGACAAATAACCTTGCCCAAATCTCTTTGACTTCCTAATGGCTTATAGTCTGCTTCTGTGGAATTCCTTTAGTTTTACTAGGTTGGTGCAAAAGTAATCGCGGTTTTTGCAATTATTTTTAATGGCAAAAACCGCGATTTTTTTTGCACCAACCTAATAATTGTGTCTTTTTCCACTCTCTGCTGTCATATTCTACACTATGTCAATCCAGATAGAAACTTGGCTCCTTTTCTTATGTTGTTCTGTGAATAGGTCCTAGCCAGGACCTCCTCCTCCTCGTCTTTATCCAAACACCAATACCTACCTTACTTCTGTGAGCCATAGGAGAGCGGTCATTCTGAACTCCTCATGCTTGATTCTGCCTTACAAATGAAAGTCATGGGAGAGAAGCGCCAGTCTTAATTCCTTGGGATCACACTCATGAGGCCACCTCAACCTCTCAAGAAAACAAACAACTTCAGCAACAGGTTCTTTAGGTGAAAGCACCTTTTCCCCAACTGGTCACCACTGTGCTGAAGCAATAAAGGAAGTTCTCACAGTATCAAGCTGCAACTGCCTAAATCAGCAATTTTTTTTTTTTTTTTTGAGACAGGGTCTCTCTCTGTTGCCCAGGCTGGAATGCAGAGGCACAATCATGGCTCACTACAGCCTCAAACTCCTAGGCTCAAGCAATCCTCCTACCTTAGCCTCCCACATAGCTGGGACTACAGGTACACGCCACCACACCCAACTAGCAGTTCCTTTGCGAGGCCTTGTTTGTCCTCCTGGCCTTCATACCACATGGAGTTAATGGTGGGAACAGCTATGCAGCAGCCCCATGTACTCCAATTTGGACTTATTACCCCCTTTCCTCCTCTAGGATATTCTTAAGACATAAACCATCAGGCCTCCCATCAGTTACCAGAACATAAGCTTCCGCAGATCATTTCTGGTTATCCTATCCCACATACAGTTCTGAATGTCCTCTAATTTGATTCAAACTTTTATCCCGCTCTATCCACCCAAATCCTTTCATTAGAATTTGTGGCCTGTCATTAACAAATTCCCCCATATCACTCACTTTTTCTCTGAATGGTCCCTTAACTTTCTTTCCATAAAGAGTACTGGGTCATCCTCAGATGACATTCTTTCCCCTCAGCCCTCCCACATATCACATATTTCAAAACCCAGGGTGAGGGTTGTTGTCTTTGCTCCTTAGGATTACTGCTTAATCACTACTCCTGTCCTCTTGTTTGAAACATGGAGCTTTTTTGAACTCAGACTTTACCTCCCTCTAACTTTTCTTGGTTGCCAGCATTTGGTGACCTCCTCACCGCTCACATTCATTCATTTACAAGTTTAATCTCTGGGTCCCTGCCTTCCTCTCCACTTGACTTTTGTCACTATTTTTGGTGACTTCACCATCCATATGGATGATCCATGCAGTACCTAGCTTCAAGGCTTCCTGTCCTCCAATGATCTTTCCCCTATCTTACTCCTATGGCAATATTCTTCTTAAAATTTTTAATTTAATAATTGCAACTTTTATTTTAGATTTGAGGGGAGGTACATGTGCAGGTTTGTTACATGGGTATATTGTGTGATGCTGAGGTTTGGAATATGAATGAGCCCACCACCCAGATAGTGAGCATAGCACCCAATAGTTAGTTTTTCAACCATTGCTCCCTTCCCTCCCCCAGCTAGTAGTCCCCAGTGTCTATTGTCGCCATACTTCAGGTCTGTGAGTAGCTCCCACCTACAAGTGAGAACATATGGTATTTGGTTTTCTGTTGCCTGTGTTAATTCACTTAGGATAATGGCCTCCAGCTGCATCTATGTTGCTGGAAAGGACATGATTTCATTCTTTTTATGGCTGCATTGTATTCCATGGTGTGCCACATTGTCTTTATCCAGTCCACCATTGATGAGTACTTAGGTCGATTCCATGTCTTTACAACCTATGAACAAAAAAAAGCCCTGGACCAGATGAATTCACAGCCAAATTCTACTAGACATGCAAAGAAGAGCTGGCACCAATCCTACTGAAACTATTCCCAAAAAATTGAGGAGCAGGATCTCCTCCCTAACTCATTCTATGAAGCCAGCATCACCCTGATACCAAAATCGGCAAAGACACAACAAAAAAAGAAAACTAGAAGCCAATATTTTGATGAATGTAGACAGAAAAATTCTTGACAAAATATTAGCAAAAGGAATCCAGCAGCGTATTACTATGCAGTCATAAAAAAAGAATGAGTTCATGTCTTTTGCAGGACATGGATGAAGCTGGAAACCATCATTCTCAGCAAACTAACACAGGAACAGAAAACCAAACACCGCATGTTCTCACTCATAAATGGAAGTTGAACAATGAGAACCTATGGGCATAGGGAGGGGAACATCACACACCGGGCCTGTCGAGGGGTGGGGGACAAAAGGAGGGATAGCATTAGGAGAAATATCTAATGTAAATGATGGGTTGATGGGTGCAGCAAACCACCATGGCACATGTACACCTATGCAAAAAACCTGCATGTTCTGCACATGTATACCAGAACTTAAAGTATAATAAAATAAATAAATGAATATTATTAAAATAAATAAATAAATAAAATTAAAAAGTAAAAATAAAAAGTTAATTCAAGGCTGGGCACGGTGACTCATGCCTGTAATCCCAGGACTTTGGGAGGCTGAGGTGGGCAAATCACCTGAGGTCAGGAGTTCAAGAGCAGCCTGGCCAACATGGTGAAATCCTATCTCTACTAAAATACAAAAATTAGTAGGGCGTGGTAGTGGGTGCCTGTAATTCCAGCTACTCGGGAGGCTGAGGCAGGAGAATCTCTTGAACCCGGGAGGCAGAGGTTGCAGTGAGCCGAGACCGCGCCATTGCATTCCAGCCTGGGTGACAAGAGCAAAACTCCATCTAAAAAAAAAAAAAAAAGTTAATTCATCATGATCAAGTAGGCTTCATTCCTGGGATGCAAAATTGGTTCAACATATGCAAATCAAGAAATGTTATTCTTTTTGCTTAGGAATACTTTAGCTATTTGGGCTCTTTTTTGGTTTCATATGAATTTTAGGATTTTTTTTCTAATTCTGTGAAAAATGATGTTGTGATTTTGATGGGAATTGCATTGAATCTATAGATAGTTTTGGGCAGTATGGATGTGGGGGAAAGGGAATGCTTATACACTGCTGGTTGGAATGTAAATTAGTACAACCTCTATGAAAAACAGTGTGGAGATTCCTTAAAGAACTACAAGTAGATCTACCATTTGATCCAGCAATCCCACTGCTGGGTATCTACCCAAGGAAAAGAAGTCATTATATGAAAAAGACACTTGCACACATATGTTTATAGCAGCACAATTCACAATTGCAAAGATGTGGAACAAACCTAAGTGCCCATCAACTAATGAACAGATAAAGAAAGTGTGGCATACATATACCATGGAATACTACTAAGCCATAAAAAGGAATGAAACAATGTCTTTTGCAGCAACTTAGATGGAGCTGGAGGCCATTATTCTAAGTGAAGTAACACAGGATTGGAAAACCAAAAACCATGTGTTCTCACTTATAAGTGGGAGCTAAGCTATGAGCAAGCAAAGGCATACAGAGTGATGTAATGGACTTTGGAGACTCAGAAGGAGGAGGTTGGGAGGGAGCTAGGGATAAAAAAAACCACACATTAGGTACAATGTACACTACTTGGGTGATGGCTGCACTAAAATCTCAGAATTCACAGCTACATAATTCATCCATGTAACAAAAAACTACTTGTACCCCAAAAGCTATTGATATTTTTTGAATAACATAAAAATGTGATTTACCATATAAATAGAACTAAAAGCAAAAGCTATATAATGATCTCAATAGATGTGGAAAAAACCTTTGATAAAACCTAACATCCCTTCATGTTAAAAACTCTCAACCAACAAGACATTGAAGGAACATACCTCAAAATAATAGGAGACATCTATGACAAACACACAGATAACATTATACTGAACTGGCCAAAGCTGGAAGCATTTCCCTTGGGAACCAGAACAAGACAAGGATGCTCACTCTCACCTCTTCTATTCAACACAGTACTGGAAGTCCTAGCCAGAGCAATCAGGCAACAGGAAGAAACAAAATGCATCCAAATAGGAGAAGGAGGCATCCAACAGAAGAAGTCAAACTCTCTCTCTTTGCCGACAATATGATTTTATACCTAGAAACCCCTGAAGACTCTAACAAAAAGCTCCTAGAACTGGTAAACAATTTCAGTAAAGTTTCAAGATACAAAAATCAATGTAGAAAAATCAGTAGCATTCCTATACACCAAAATCATTCAAGCTGAGAGCCAAATCGAGAGCACAATCCCATTTACAATACCCCCCACCACACACACACCCCTAGGAATACATCTAACCAAGGAGGTGAAAGATCTCTACAAGGAGGAGTACAAAACACTGCTCAAATAAATCATAGATGATACAAACGAATGGAAAAACAGTCCATGCTCATGGATTGGAAGAATCATTACCATCTAAATGGCCATACTGCCCAAGCAATCTACAGATTCAATACTATTCCTATCAAGCTACCAATGTTATTTTTCACAGAATTAGAAAAAACTAGTCTAAAATTCATATGGAACAAAAAAGAGCCCAAATAACCAAAGCAATCCTAAGCAAAAAGAACAAAGCCTGAGGTATCACATTACCCAACTTCAAACTATACTACAAGACTGCAGTAACCAAAACAGCATGGCACTGGTACAAAACCAGACACATAGACCAATGGAACAGAATAGAGGATCCAGAAATAAAGCCACACCCCTACTACCATCTGATCTTCAACAAAGTTAACAAAAATAAGCATTAGGGAAAAGACCCTATTCAATAAATGGTGCTGGGGTAGCTGGCTAGCCATACACAAAAGAAAAATGAAACTGGATCCTTGCCTTTCTCCATATACAAAAGTTAACTCAAGATGGAGTAAAGATGTAAATGATTAAACTCTTGACCTTGTCATCTCTAATGTCATTAGCTCTGAAATCCGTAGTATCTGCATCGTACACTCTGTCCACTGCCTCTTATTCTTTGTCTGTTCTAGTACTCACACTCCAACATTTCTTTGATCTCATTGAGACCTTAATCCATTTTCACTATCACTTTTTTCACTACCCAACATCCTTATTTTCCTCTGTTCTCACCATAATTCTCAGAGCCCATCTTTTTAAATACTTCTGTAACTCCCTTGCCCTTCTTTTTCCTCCTTGCCTGCCCAACCCCAACTCTAAAACCATCTCTGCTCCTGCCCTGCAAGAGCAGAATATTGCTGGGGAAAAATTGCATGCTAGTCTCATTTTGACATTTCACTGACCAGTCTCACTCTAAATTCATGATCATGAATCTTAAGTGGGCACTCAGTACTCCCTATAAAGAGTACTGCCTATAAATCCTATCACTCTTCGCTTGTATATTTATTTTCCCACTCTGCAAAATTTATCACACTTCTTTCCACTCCTCAAATACTCTTCCCCTCTTACTCTTGGCTGTGCCTTTATATAATACTTCAGAGAAAATAAAGATTGATTATAGAAACCCCACTGTTGCAACTGGAAATCTGCCATCATACCTGCATTTGTATGCTTTGCCTTTACTGCCTGTTGCACTGTAAGAAATATCTCTGCTGCAATCAAAGGCTACCCCTCAGCCCTTGTGTTCTGGATCCCATTCCTTGCAGCCATCTGAACAACCTTGCTCTTACATCTGTTGTGCAATTCTCATCTTTCTCTCCAACATCATCATACTCTTCCTCCTCACTGGATTGTATCCGTTAGGATAGAGACATACCCTAATATCCCCCATCTTAAACAAAACCTTCGTTTATCTCACTTTACTTCCATCTCCACTTCTCTGTTCCCTTTCAAAAAAAAAATATTTAAGGCCAGAATTTAATGCAGATGATGCTGTTTTTCCACCTCCCATTTTATCTTCTTTCCACTACAAATCAGACTCTGGTTTCCATCACCGTACTAAAACATTTCTTCTCAAGGCCACTCACAGTTTCCATATTGCCAGTTCCAACAGCCAGTCTTTTATGCCCATTCTACTTTCCTTTCCAGCAGCATTTAACAGGGTCGACCAGTCTCTGCTCAAAACACTTTCTTCTTTTAGCTTTCTTGATACCACTTTCAAGTTCTTTATATTTTCTCATTGGTCACTCTTTAGTTTTCTAGGAGGGCTCCTTTTTGGTGTGACCCCTAAATGCAAACCTAGGGCTTTGTTTTTGACTGTCCTTCCTTAAGTTACCACATTCTCCCTCCAGAAGACTTAATCCAGTCTGATGGCAGTAATGCCATCTTCAGGCTGATGATTCCCAAATCTATATTGCTGCTGCTGACCCCTCCTTTGAAACAAAACTACTCCTCTCTTCAGTTGTCTATTACGCATTTCTTCTTGATGGCTAATAAGCATCTCAAATACAGCAAGTCTGATCCAGAACTCTTGATCCATCTCCCTCAAAAAATCTGTTTCTCTCCAGTATTTCTCATCCCAATTAGTATTAAATTGGTCAGAACTGAAATCTAGGACACATTCTTGACTGCTTCTTACCCTCACAACATTCCCCGATTGTGCTGTCTCCAGGGTCCATCGCCAATGTGACCACCTCACTTCTCTGCTAAAATCTTAGGTCAAGTCAACATTTTTTATTAGACTAATTAGCCTCTTAAGTGGTCTCTCTATTTCCATTCTTGTGCCAATACAAATCAGCCTCCATACACCCACCAGAGTGATGTTCTCAAGTATAAACCAGATCACATCACTTCCCTGCTTCCAACACTCCTGTGGCTTCCCTTTGCCAATAGAATAAAAGCTAAACTTTTCACAATGGTCTGCATCAGCTTCTGTAAGCCCTGGGATAGTTTGTCACAGAGAGTAGCCTGTAACTTAATTTTAGTCTGTAAATATTAACCAGCATAAAGTGTTTATTTTATGATGTCTCCATTAAATAGTGTTTTTTTGCAAGAATCTGGTCATGTGATAGCATGCTGGACATCTATAATTATTCCCACTTAAACTATCCCACCGTTAGGCTGGGTGGTGGCTCACACCTGTAATTTCAGAACTTTTGGAGGCTGAGGTGGGCGAATCACTTGAGATCAGGAGTTCAAGACCAGCCTAGCCAACATGGCAAAACCCTGTCCCTACCAAAAATACTAAAATTTAGCCAGACATGGTGGTGCACACCTGTAATCCCAGCTACTCAGGAGGATGAGGCACGAGAATTGCTCGAACCTGGGAGGCGAAGGTTGCAGTGAGTGGAGATTGCGCCACTGCACCCCAGCCTGGATGACGGAGTGAGACTCTATCAAAAAAAAAAAAAAAAAAAATTCCCACCATTATCTGTAAAACTAAACTTAATTCTCAGAAAGGCAAAGTTTGTCTTTAGTTTTCCTCTTCCTGGAAAAAGTATACAATAATAAATAACACTTCCTTCTACAGCTTTCCTTAAACAGAAAAGAGCTGAGAGTTAAAACTCACACTTCAAAATATGACTCGTTCTACAAATGTCCTCTTTTGGAAATAAAGTATATGCGTTAGATTGCCAAGGTTCCTTAGCCTCCCCTCCTCCCCAGCCCAGTAGTTATGTCCTTTGACAAAACTTCAGATCAGCACCTCACATTTAAAACACAAAAGACTCTAGACATTCCTACCTATGACCAAGAAAAGGTGGGGTTGGGGAACAAAGTACTTTAGGATTTGTGATGTGTTCAATCTTCTTCATTTACAAGGTTTTAGTGAAACTTTAGCAAAAGTTTTCTCTGTTTTTAAAATCACAAATAAAAAAGTAAATCATAGTTTCTCCTGTCTTGGAGTTTACATTTTAATTTTCTTCTTTGGAGTTTTTAAAAATTATTATTAACTAAAATTGTACTCCTGAAATAGGAGCATCTTTATGCTTAGAAGGGTACTGTTAGGGAGGAAAAATTTTCCTCTGTTCTCTTATGCTTAGTGAATAGGGCTCTATGAATTAAATCCACACAACAGATTTCTTTTTTTTTTTTTTTTTTTTTTTTTTTTGAGATAGGGTCTCTCTTTGTCTCCCAGCCTGGAGTCGCATGATCATAGTTCACTACAGCCTTGACCTCCCAAGCTCAACCGATCCTCTCACCTCAGCCTTCTGAGTAGCTGGGACTACAGGCATGCACCACCATGCCCAGCTAATTTTGTATTTTTTGTAGAGACAGGGTTATACCATGTTGCCCAGGCTGGTCTCAAACTCCTGGGCTCAAGTGATCCTCCTGCCTTGGCCTCTCAAAGTGCTGGGATTATAGGCGTAAGCCACCATGCCCAGCCCAAATAACAGAGTAACAGGATAAAAAGCACACAATTTTTTTTTATTATTTATGTGCATGGCAGTTCACAAATAGAAGTGAAGATCAAGTGGTTAAATCAGGAAATTATATACCATTTTCACAAAGGAAGTGGATTTAGGAATCAAGGAACAATTAGCTGTAAGGAAGTTGTGACTAGAAAATATATAGGGGAACTAATGGCAGATAAGGGTTCCCTATCTCCAGTGATAAAAATGCTCTTCTTTTTCTGGTAAAAGGAGCAATTTATGCTTTGCTTTTAAGCAGATAAAGGGAGGGCAGAGACTGCACTTATTGATTCTCAATTGCCTTCAGGTCAAAAAAAAAATCCTTAAACTAAAGTGGCATATTTGGCATATTCTGATGCCCTTCTACGTAAAAAAAGATACAGTACAATTTGGAAGATATTTTAAGAGAATGAACCAATACCTTAAGAGGGTTGATTTTAAGGGCATATTATTCCCAGCAGTAATCATTCTAGGAGTCAATCAGATGGTTGGCTAATATTATGTGGTGTAACTTGAAGTTACTTCATCTTTCCAATGCTTTGGGAAGTGAGAGTCATAGTGCTGAGAGGGAGTTGGAACGGACTCTGGGCTCTTGCCCCTGAAGGTGACTCACCTTGTAAAGTTGCCTGGCTTTAATTTTCCTTTTGTTTCATGGTAGGTGTTTACATAGGCATAACCTTTGGTGGATTCTGGCATGATTATGATACCACATGGTTTAACATGACACAGACTATCTATTCCCAACTTCAAGAAGGTAACTCCTCTAACATTGCCTTCATCTTGAGCATTTTACTTACATCAATATTTGATTAATATCTATAAAATGTCTTTGCTTCAGTAAGGAACTCA